>NC_000003.12:164160119-164311634 GCF_000001405.40 Homo sapiens
CTCAATTTCAGAACTTGTTGTTGGTCTATTCATGGATTCTACTTCTTCCTTGTTTAGTCTTGTGGAGGTGTATGTGTCCAGGAATTTATCCATTTCTTCTAAATTTTCTAGTTTGTTTGCATAGAGTTGTTTACAGTATTCTCTGATGGTAGTCTGTATTTCTGTGGAATCAGTGGTGATATCCCCTTTATCATTTTTTATTGTATCTATTTGATTCTTCTCTCTTTTCTTCTTTATTAGTCTGGCTAGCAATCTATTTTGTTAATCTTTTCAAAAAATCAGCTCCTGGATTCATTGATTACTTGGAGGGTTTTCATGTCTTCATCTCCTTCTGTTCTGCTCTGATCTTAGTTATTTTTTGTCTTCTGCTAGTTTTTTAATTTGTTTGTTCTTGCTTCTCTAGTTCTTTTCATTTTGATGTTTGGGTGTCAATTTTAGATCTTTCCCGCTTTCTCATGTGGGCATTTAGTGCTATAAATTTCCCTCTACACACTACTTTAGCTGTGTTTCAGAGATTCTGGTACATTGTGTCTTTGTTCTCAGTGGTTTCATATAACTTATTTATTTCTGCCTTAATTTCATTATTTACCCAGTAGTCATTCAGGAGCAGGTTGCTCAGTTTCCATTTAGTTTTGTGGTTTTGAGTGAGTTTCTTAATCCTGAGTTCTAATTTGATTACACCATGGTCTAAGTGACTGTTTGTTATGATTTGTGTTCTTTTGCATTTGCTGAGGAGTGTTTTACTTCAAAATATTTGGTCAATTTTAGAAAGAGTTCTATGTGGTGCTGAGAAGAATGTATATTCTGTTGATTTGGTTTGGAGAGTTCTGTAGATGTCTATTAGGTCTGCTTGGTCCAGAACTGATTTCAAGTCCTGAAAATCCTTGTTAATTTTCTCTTTCATTGATCTGTCTAATATTGACAGTGCATATTAAAGTCTCTCAATATTATTGTTTGGGAGTCTAAGTCTTTTTGTAGGTTTCTAAGAACTTGCTTTATGAATCTGGAGGGCCCTGTATTGGGTGCATATATTTTTAGGATAGTTAGCTTTTCTTGTTGCATTGATCCCTTTACCATTATGTAACGCCCTTCTTTGTCTTTTTTTAATCTTTGTTGGTTTAAAGTCTTTTTTATCAGAGACTAGTATTGCAACCCCTGCATTTTTTGCTTTCCATTTGCTTAGTAAATATTCCTCCATCTCTTTATTTTGAGCCTATATGTGTCTTTGCACATGAGATGGGTCTCCTGAATACAGCACACTGATGGGTCCTGACTTTTTATCCAATTTGCCGGTCTGTCTTTTAATTTGGGCATTTAGCCCATTTACATTTAAGGTTAATATTGTTATGTGTTATTCGATACTGTCATTATGATGCTAGCTGGTTATTTTTCCCATTGGTTGATGAAGTTTCTTCATAGTGTCATTGGTCTTTACATTTTGGTGTTTTTGAAGTGGCTGGTGCCAGGTTTTTTTCCTTCCCATATTTAGTGCTTCCTTCAGGAGCTCTTGTAAGGCAGGCCTGGTGGTGACAAAATCTCTCAGCATTTACTTCTCTGTAAATAATTTTATTAGCTTGGCTGGATATAAAATTCTGGGTTGAAAATTGTTTTCTTTACGAATGTTGAATATTGTCCCCCTCTGTCTTCTGGCTTTTAGGGTTTCTGCAGAGAGATCTGCTGTTAGTCTAATGGGATTCCCTTTGTGAGTAACCCAACATTTCTCTCTGGCTGCCCTTAACATTTTTTTCTTTATTTCAACCTTGGTGAATCTGATGATTATGTGTGTTGGGATTACTCTTCTTGAGCACTATCTTCCTGGTATTGTCTGTATTTCCTGAATTGGAATGTTGTCCTGTGTTGCTAGGCTGGGGACTTTCTCCTGAAATGTGTTTTCCAACTTGGTTCCATTCTCCCTGTCACTTTCAGATACACCAATCAAACTTAGGTTTGGTCTTTTCACATAGTGCCATATTTCTTGGAGGCTTTGTTTGTTCCTTTACCTTCTTTTTTCTCTAATCTTGTCTTCATGCTTTATTTCATTAAGTTGATCTTCAATCTCTGATATCTTTTCTTCTGCTTGATCGATTTGGCTATTGATACTTGTCTATGCTTCATGAAGTTCTCGTGCTGTATTCTGAGCTCCAACAGGTCATTTATGTTCTTCTCTAAACTGGTTATTCTAGTTAGTAGTTCCTGTAACTTTTTATCAAGGTTCCTAGCTTCCTTGCTTTGGGTTAGAACATGATCCTTTAGCTCAAAGGAATTTGTAATTATCCACCTTCTGAAGCCTACTTCTCTCAATTCATCAAATTCACTCTCTGTCCAGTTTTGTTCCCTTGCTGGTGAGGAGTTGTGATCCTTTGGAGGAGAAGAGGCATTCTGGTTTTAGGAATTTTCAGCCTTTTTATGCTGTTTTATTCTCATTTTCTTGGATTTATCTACCTTTGGTCTTCGATGTTGGTGACTTCAGATGGGGTTTCTGCATGGGCATCTCTTGTTGATGTTGACACTATTGCTTTCTGTTTGTTATTTTTTCTCCTAACAGTCCAGCCCCTCTTCTGCAGGTCTGCTGGAGTTTGCTAGAGGTCCACTCCAGAACCTTTTATGCCTGGGTATCAACAATGGGTGCTGCAGCACAGCACAGGTTGCTGCCTGCTTCTTCCTCTGGAAGCTTCATCCCAGAGGGAGGGGCGCTCACCAGATCCCAGCCAGAGCTCTCATATATGAAGTGTCTGTCGACCCCTGCTGGGAGGTGTTACCCAGTAATGAGGAACGGGGATCAGGGACCCACTTAAGGAGCCAGTGTGTCTGTTAGCAGAGCTCAAGCACTATGCTTGAAGATCTGCTGCTCTCTTCAGAGCCAGCAGGCAGGAATGTTTAAGTCTGCTGAAGGTGAGCCCACTGCTGCCCCTACCCCCAGGTGCTGGGTCACAGGGAGATGGGAGTTTTATCTATAAGTCTCTGTCTGGGGCTGCTGCCTTTCTTTCAGAGATGCCCTGCCCAGAGAGGAGGAATCTAGAGATGCAGTTTGGCTACAGCGGCTTTGCTGCACTACAGTGGGTTCCACACACAGTTCGAACTTCCTGGAGGCTTTGTTTACAATGTGAGGAGAAAACCACCTACTTAAGCCTCGGCTCTCTCCCCACCAAGTTCAAATATCCCAGGTCGACTTCAGACTGCAGTGCTGCAATTGAGAATTTCATCCCAGTGGATCTCAGCTTGTTGGGCTCCATGGGGGTGGGATCTGCTAAGCAAGACCACCTGGCTCCCTGGCTTCAGCCTCCTGTCCAGGGGAGTAAACAGTTCTGTCTCACTGGCATTCCAGGCATCACTGGGGTATGAAAAAAAACTCCTGCAGGTAGCTCCTTTTCTGCCCAAACAGCTGCTCAGTTTTGTGCTTGAAACCTAGGGCCCTGGTGGTGTAGCCACCCAAGGGAATCTCCTGGTCTGTGGGTTGCAAAGACCATGGGGAAAGCGTAGTATCTGGGCCGGACAGTGCCGTCCCCCATGGCTTCCCTTGGCTAGGGGAGTCCCAGTCCCTCATGGCTTCCCTTGGCTAGGGGAGGGAGTTCCCTGACCCCTTGTGATTCCTGGGTAGCGCAATGCCCCACCCTGCTTCTGCTAGCCCTCCATGGGCTGCACCCACCGTCTAAGCAGTCCCAGTGAGATGAACCTGGTACCTCAGTTTGAAATCCAGAAATCACCTACCCTCTGCATTGGTCTTGCTGGGAGCTGCAGACTGGAGCTTTTTGCGTTCGGCTGTCTTGCCCGGGAATCCTTATTTTTCAACTTTATAATGATGCAAAACTGTTGCAAATTTGATGTAATATATTTCAACAAATTATACTTAAGATATTCAACACTTTATTATAAAATAAGCTTTTTGCTAGATGATTTTGCCCAACTGTAGGCTAATATAAATGTTCTGAGATGTTTAAGGTAGGCTAGTGTAAGCTATTATGTATCTTGTAGGCTAGATATATTAATTACATTTTTGACTATATTTTCAACTTACAATGGGTTTATCAGAACACATCACATTTTAAATTGAGGAGCATTTGTATAATAAAATACAAGCATTTATATTTAAAAATGATTTAAATATGAAATAAATCATTTTAAAATATAAATGCTTGTCTTTTCTTAGACAAATACCTCATTTGCTGAATGAGATAAAATGTCAAGAACTTAGATGCTAAGAAATAATTTTACAGAGATTAATTAAAGCAAATACTTTAATAATTTAGTAGATACCATGTTCCCAAATGAGAAATATCAGAATTATAAAGATATTAGAAGTTTTAAAATTATGTATATATAATATAAACTATATAAAATATGGTTGTTGTTGTTGTTGCTGTTGTTAACTTCATTTCCAATCAAAATCTTACAAAACCTCTGGCCTCAGGATTTCTCTCTCTCTTGGCAATAAGGTCTAATTGAATGACAGCATTGTCTAGCTTGAGCTCCTCTTTAGAGTGGTGCTGCCAATTAAAGAAAAGAATTGCAGGCAGCCTCAAATATGTATAATTGGAATTTCTGAAGAAAGACTAAAGGAAGAAAAATATTTGAGAAAATACTGGCTACAAATTTTCTAAGTTTGGAAAATACAAACACACAGATCTATATACCTCAACACACCCAAAGCCCAGGAAATAGGAGCCCCAAGAACTAAACCACAAAATAAAATTGTGCTAAGCTATAAAAAGAAAATATTAATGGCAGCTAGAGAAAAAAGCATGTCAGATTTCTCATGAAAACACAAATCAAAGTGAAAAAAAAAAAAGACAAACATTTTTAAAGTACTGAAAGAAAACGTTCAGCCAGGCCCAGTGGCTCACACCCATAATCCCAATGCTTTGGGAGGCCCAGGCAGATGGATCACCTAAGGTCGGGAGTTCACGACCAGACTGACTAACATGGATAAACTCTGTCTCTACTAAAATACAAAATTAGCTGGGTGTGGTGGCTCATGCCTGTAATCCCAGCTATTCGGCAGGCTGAGGCAGGAGAATCGCTTGAACCCAGGAGGCGGAGGTTGTGGTGAGCCGAGATCGTGCCATTGCACTCCAGCCTGGGCAACAAGAGTGAAACTCCATCTCAAAAAAAAAAAAAAAAAAAAAGGAAAAGAAAAGAAAAGAAAACTTTGTATTAAACTATAATTTTGTAACTAGCAACAATATATTCACTAAACAAATATATAAAATTTTTCCAGACAAAAAAAAAAATCTGAAAGAACTTATTATCACAGATTGATCTGTAAAATTTTTAGTCCTTCAGTTAGAAGGAACATAATACCGTAGTGAAATATGGATGTATACAAAGGAATTAAGAATACAAAAAATAATTTATATGAATAAATATATAATATTTTTATTACTGAAATCTTTAAAAAACTCACTATTTAAACAAAAATAATAACAAAGTAATGTGTGTTTTTTAATGTTAAATGTAAATAACACCACAAGAACAGGAGACAAGAAATGGAAGCAAAGTATTGTAAACGTTTGATACTTTACATAAAGTGGTACAAGATATTTTTAAGGTAGATTATAATAAGTTATGATGTATACAATAAAAGCTAAAGAAATGATTAAAATAAAAAAGTTATAACTAATAAGTTAATAGAATCATAAAACTACCCAATCAAAAAGAAGGCAGAGAAAAAGAGAGATATATTTTTTAAAAAGATGGGACAATAAGAAAACAAATACCAAAATGGTAGAATAAAATATAACCATATCAATAATCACATTAAATATAAACCACCCAATACCCCCAGTTAAAAGGCACATTTTTAGAGTTGAATGAAAGGAAACAAACAAACCATAGACACAAAATATAGCCAATTGTCAACCACCATATGTAGCCCACGAAATGCAATTTAAATAGAAAGATGCAGATAGATAAAAGCATTGGAAATATATATTATGCTACAACTAATAAAAATAAATTTGGAGTGGCTATACTAACATCAGACAAAGTAGATTTCAGATAATTAAATATTGCCAGGTATAAAAAAGATCAATTGGTAATGTGATAGAGTCAATTCATCAAAAGGAGGGAACAACATGATTAGTTTTGTACCTCATAACAGAGATTCAAAATTCATAAAACAAAATTTTATAGCACTATTAAAGAAATAATTGTATTCACAATTCAAACATGTAGGTAGAAAATCAGTAAAGACATGGAAGATTGAACAAAATTATCCAACTACTTGACCTGATATTTTAGAATGTTTCACCTAACAATAGCATAATGCATATTATTTTCATATGCACATGAAACATTTCCCGTCCTGGACCTGAGACAAAAAACGAATCTCAAAAAATGTCAAGGGATTCATGTCATATAAAGAGTATTCGCGTAATAAAGTAGAATGAAATTAGAAATCAATCATAGAAAAATACTGAGAAAATCTCTAAATATTTGGAAACATAAAAAACCCATGAGTCAAAGAAGAAATAAAAAAGGCAATTAGAAAGTATTTTGAACCAAAGTAAGAATAAAATAAAATATAGCAATATATGTGGAATGTTAATAAAGCAATATATTAAAGCAGCCTGAAATATATGAGATATATTGTGTCTGTGTGTTGGAATACTCTATATTTCTAGGATATAAGAATCTTTTCAAATTGTTATATAGATTTAGTGCAATCCCATTTACTATTACTGCAGGCTTTCTTTTTTAGAAATTACATGCAGATTTTAAAACTCATATGGGAATACAAAGGACTTGCAATGGTCAAAACAACTTTGAAAATGAACAAAGTTGAAGAGCAATACTGCCTTATTTCAAGATTCATTACAAAGCTTCAGTAGTCAAGACTGTGTGGGCTGGGCAGGGCATGCCAATAGACAAATAGATCAACAGAGCAAAATAGAGAGTCCAGAAATAGAGCCACATACATAAAAGAAACAAAGATTTATTCATAAATGTTCAGAGAAACTAGCAAAAAAATTGGAAACAAATGTCGATCTACAGGAGAATGGATAAAGAAATCATGTTATATGTATACAATAAGCCAGACAGCAGTAAAAATGAACTATCAATACATGAAACAACATGTATGAATCTCAAACTAATTATGCTGAGTGAAAGAAGACAGATTAAAAAAAAGTACACATTATGGTTGCATGTATATGGAACTCCAGAAAATGCAAATTAATGTATAGTGACAGAAGGCAGATTTGTGGTGACCTAGGGCTGGAGAGGGCTGGAACAGTGGAGAAAGATGAAAGGGATTATAAAGGAGTATGAGGAAATTTTGGGGGGTAACGGGCATTCTTATTATTTTGGATGTAGAAATGATGCCACAGGTATATATAGATAGATAGTAGAATATATTTCAAAACTTATCAAATTTTAACATTAAAAAATGCAGGAATTTTTGTGTGAAATAAAACCAAATAAAGCTATTAAAAAAAGTTACCACTCCCATAAACTTTGTAAACCAAATTAAGAAATAAATAAATAAGACATTGAAAAATATAGACAAAATAAGACATTGATGAATAAAGAAATGACATATCACAGCTACTTTTAGGCTCCTCCCAACGCGTAAAACAAGCAAAACACCAGATATCTTGGCATAAAAATGGATTCCCTGACTATGAAATGACTTTTTCCTTGCATCTACTTTCTGTCTTCCATGAGAAATTGCTATTTTTGCCTGAGGTCCCAAAAACTAATGGCAAAGGAAGCACACAGGACAATTTAGGGGAACAAGTCATTTTCAAGAATTATTTGGGAAGGATTCTTAAGTTACTTTACATAGGGTGTTTTTTCAAAAAAAGAAAAACATGACTCAGGAAATGCCCTTTGCAGAGCAAGCTTTCTATTTTCTTACTCTTAATGTCTTACAGGCAAGAAAACCTTGATCTAACAAACTGAAATTAGATAAACTGTGGTTGTCACTTTTATTTTGTCAGATCAATGTGTTGAATAAATTTATGCAGCATCCAATTCCAAACCTAATATTGTGCAAACATAGGCCACTTTCTCTAAAGATCAGAAAATACAGAAACATCAGTAGAGATGTAAAAAAAAACCCACTTCCAAACAAATGTACAATGCTAAGAAAACAAAGTAACAAATTCCTTCATAAAATAGAATAAAAATTTAAATAAACAGATGATATTAATTGCATTTTCCTGTGATCTTGAATCAGAAATGAGGAGTTTTGACAAGAGACAGATTGTGCAATGCAATAGACAGTGCATGACATATCATATATTATTTTTTTAAAAGTCAATATTAGACATTATTTTAGAATTTTTAAGAGAAATAATAAGATACCAAAAATAAAGCAGACACAGAATATATGATCAAATATCCATGAAACAGTAATTCTGGGAGAGAGAATAGTCAGAGAAGTAAAAATCAAAGTAATACAAACAGAGATTCCTATGCAGAATCAACACAATACTTTATAACGAGGAAATTCAGCAAGTACTGGTGGTATTAAGATGCCCACACTTAAAAATTATTTTGTTGAAGTTTTCACTTTCCAAATCTCAGATAAACTACAATTATACAGAGGAAAAAACACAATGTATCAGTGAATAGAAAATAAATACATTTTTTAAATGCATTGGAATTATCATAGTGAACCAGATCCTGGTGTAGATTTTGCACGTGGAAATTAGTGAATTCCAAAATATAGTTTTCAGAATATCCCTCTGGTTTATCTGTGATAGACCAGCACCCTTCATTGAAGTGGAAGTAAAGCAGGAGGGATGAATTTGTAAGTAGAATAATGCAAAATAATTTAAAGTGGTCTCTGATGAATTTGTGAGGCTTCTAGGCTGGAATTTCCAGATGTTACATTATAAATTGGTTTTAGGAAGTGATAAAATTATTTAAACTGTGGAGTGGATAAATTAGTTTCCTTGAACATTAAAATTTTAATTTGTTTTATTTCTTTTTATTATACTTTAAGTTCTGGGGTATGTGTGCAGAACGTGCAGTTTTGTTACATAGGTAAACATGTGCCATGGTGGTTTGCTGCACCCATCAACCTGTCACCTACATTAGGTATTTCTCCTAATGTTATCCCTCCCCAGCCCCCCTCCCCCGACAGGCCCCAGTGTGTGATGTTCCCCTCCCAATGTCCATGTGTTCTCATTGTTCAGCTCCCACTTATGAGTGAGAACATGCAGAGTTTGGTTTTCTGTTCTTGTGATAGTTTGCTGAGAATGATGGTTTCCAGCTTCATCCATGTCCCTGCAAAGGACATGAACTCTAATCACTTACTTCATTTTAATTTATTCCATTGAGTGCTTATTCTATACCTGATTTTAATTTGAATTTTTTAAATAAACTATCTAATGTAATCATTGTAATAAAACTTAGTAGTGGGGATTACTATCTCCATCTTAAATGAGAAAACTGATATTCCAATTTTATGTTGAGGTCTTTGGTAGGTAATTCACGTAATTTGACTAGGGCCTGAGTTTTAACAGCATTCTTTTATTTTATTATTATACTTTAAGTTTTAGGGTATGTGTGCACAACGTGCAGGTTAGTTACATATGTATACATGTGCCATGTTGGTGTGCTGCACCCATTAACTCATCATTTAACATTAGGTATATCTCCTAATGCTATCCCTCCCCCCTCCCCCCACCCCACAACAGGTCCCGGTGTGTGGTGTTCCCCTTCTTGTGTCCATGTGTTCTCATTGTTCAATTCCCACCTATGAGTGAGAACATGCAGCATTCTAACTGGTGATTTTACCATTAATCATTGCTCCCTGATGCCATTTTCCACATTGAATCTTGACTGATGTTCCCACTGCCTTCAAGATAAAGTCCAAATACCATCATCTATTCTCTTCAAAATCTGGCCTTCCTCTTACTTATTTCCTGAAATGTTCTATACCTCTCTCTTCTACAGAAACCTCAGTGTCAGATTTTGACACACTGAGCTGTACTCTTTTGATCAGCTTTGCACTTGCAAACAGGTTCTTCTGCTTTGAATCCCTGTCTTTTGTCTCACACCAGGCTACATTCTGTGAACCCAAAGTATCTGAGACAGGTCTCAGTCAATTTAGAAAGTGTATTTTGCCAAGGTTAAGGATGTGCCTGTGACACAGCCTCAAGAAGTCCTGACAACATGTGCCCAAGGTGCTCAGGGTACACCTTGCTTTTATACATTTTAGGGAGGCAGAATACATCAATCAATACATGTAAGATATACATTGACTCGATCTGGAAGGACGGGGTGGGACAACTTGAAGATGGGGGGGGTTCCAGGTAATAGGTGGATTTATAAATGTTCTGACTGGCAATTGGTTGAAAGAGTTATTATTAGTAGAAAGAAATGTCTGGGTTATGATAAAAGGTGGTGGAGATCAAGGTTTTATCACGCAGATGAAGCCTCCAAGCAGTAGGCTTCAGAGAGAGCACATTGAGAATGTTTCTTATCACACATAAGGTCTGTGATGATGTTAATACTGGAGGGGTATAATGAGGCATACTGGAACTCCTCTTCCATCACGGCCTTAACTAGTATTTCAGGTTAACTCTGGAATGTCCTTGGCTGAGAGGAGGGGTCTATTCAGATGAGTGGGGGCCTTAGAAGTTTGTTTTTGATTTACAGTTTCATTCAGCTTTTGGGACTATTGCAAAGGTCATTTTCTCTAAGAAGTGTTCTCTTCCTCTCCTGAATTTCAAATAGATATCACCTCCTGTTTCCACTCTTTTCATACCTGTGTCACTGTACTTTTTACACTATACTGTAGCTTTTGCTTTATTTTCCCTTTCTCCATTAATAGATCTTAAAATCCCTGAGATTATTTTCTATAATTTAGAAATTGTTTTTAATCTCTAGTGTTTGACACATTGTTAGACATAATAAATGCTCAACTAGTATTTATTGAAAAGTAGATTACAAACAGAAACTTAAAAGGAAAATTTATGTAAGTTGATAACTTTAGAAACAATATTTCAACAGTAATTGGAAAAGGCATATTTAAGCAAATGCACATTGAAAAGTCTATAAAATATTAGAAGTTAAACAGAAAATACAAAAATATTTTTCCAAATGTATAAGTAAATTAATAATGTTATTACAGGAAAAACATAATAATTAGACTTCTAAGACAATAAAAAATATAGAAAATTAGATGAAGACACTTTTCACAATTAGGTAAATAAAACATTTAGTTAATAATATGCAAAATATTCAACACATTAAGAATCAAGATATATAATTTTGATCTAAGTAGCAACTATTAAACAATTTCATTTGTTACAGTGATGCACAAGCTGGGCAGTACTTTTCATGAACTCATAGTGGGACTATAAATAAGAATGGACTTGGTACTGATGGGACTTACAGCATGCTACCCCAAAATATGGCAACATGGCATACTGAGTATGCCAGTATTAAAATACTCAGTATGCCAGGGTACCATATTTTGGGGTAGCTGAAGGAATTAGAGAGTCATAGAAGCAGTACGTTCCCGTGAAGCTTTTGCTGCCCTTCTATCCTCAACTAGGTCATAAAACTTAGAAATAATTCTCTGATTGTCCCCTGGAACAAGTAATAAGATTTTCATGTGAGAGATGCCCGCCCTATACCTAGAGAAAAGGAGTGTCATTATCCTGGAAAACACAGGGATATAGAGAAGAATCTAAACAAACAGGCCTGGATAAGTTCCCCTCAGCTATTACTATTAGATCATACCACTTTTTGTCCAATCAGACTTCTCTACAACTGTCTGCTCTTCATCAAACCTATGCGTAAAAACATATAGGACTCCCTGTTTCTTTAGGTCTTCATTTATAAGGTTTCTGTGCCAGGTAAAACTTGAATAAATTTGTATGTTTTTCTCATGTTAATCTGTTTTTGTCAGTTTTATTTTCAGAACCATCTTGGGACCTTAACAGGGTAGAGGAAAACCCTCCTCCCCTACATTACAAATAATATAATTATATATCTAAAGCATTAAGTTTCTAACAATCTTGAACCAGTTTTATCTTAGTAATAAATTACTTTTAAAATGGCAAAATGCATTCCAAAATATGTAGACAAAGATGATCATTGAAAGGTTATTTATCATAAGAAAATTAGAAACCATTCTCATGTTTGATATTAACAGTAATTTTGAGTAAATTGTATATATGTCAGTGTAACGGAATTATATAATACTATAATATTATACCTATATTATAATATACATAAAAAAATTTCAAAAATTATGTTCTGTGAAAGTTGCATATATTATGTAAATTAAAACACATATGCAAGTAATAAAGAATATTAACAATTATGTCTACAAAATAGTAAGGATTATGAATCCTAAATTTTTATTTTTTTAAATATTTTTTCTCTATTAAGTATATTTAATGATCAGAAGAAGAGTAGGCTTAACACCTAATAAAAAAGGATAATATAATTATGGAAATCAGGAAAAAGTAAATAGCATGAACTATGAAATATCTTTACATTCTAAACATTAATTCATTGAACAACTTTTGTGTTTGCCACTCAGAATGTTATAAATATAAAATCAAACAATTGAGAGTCCCTGGAATTCAGGCTTCTAGTGTCTAGCAGATTATATATGTATATCTGAAAAGAAATTGTAAGACCATTGAAATAATCAAATGCCAAATGGGCGTAACAGAGCCACATCCAAATAATTACTATAGCTACATCATCTAAATAAAAAATAATCTTTACTATGTCATGTAACTAAATACATGCACACAAACATATGGATAGAAAACAGTGATCAAATGTACAAACAACAAAAGTTAGTTATAACCAGCAGAGAATCACCACAAAATGGCAGATATATTCTGCCAATTAGGAAGAAAATGTTCTTCTAGGTTATATAAGGTGATCCTACTGTTTGTTCCCACAAAAGGGAATTCTGCATAGAATACTGTATTATTCTGACAACTGATTAGCATTTTGATGTGCTCAAAATTTGTTCACATGAAAATGAATTATTAAGGCAGACAGCAATTCAAAGTAACAGATGAAACTATTGCACAAGAATTTTTTCTATATTTTTAAATAATTGGTTGCCAAAGAATATACTCAAGGTTAATTCTTCCTTCTCTGATTACCGCAGAGGTAAAGCTGTGACCAATATAAAAAAAAATTATATTGAGACAAAAGTATTCCTTCTGTCAATTTAGTCTGCTAAAAGTTAAAACAAAACCCAGGCATTATCTTTTTGTTTAGTAAATAATGATAAAATATTATATCTCAAGATTATCAGAGAGTGTTGATATTTTCTTTTACATAGTAGAGACAAAAAATGAAAATATCATAAAATAATATATTTTGTTAGTAAAAGTATCTTGAAACTTGTAAATTATATTTCTACAAGACTTCTCCAATTTGTAACATTTCATACTCTATTAATTGCCGTTAGAATGATGATCTAAATATACACTCTATAAAAACTGCATTCTTGGTTAAACACAAAAGGTGATTATTTTTTATATACCTTTCTGAAATAAAAATGTTATATTAAGATGATGAAGATGACTGTTCTTTTAAAAATTGCAACATTAAAAGTAAATTACAAGTAGTTGAAATGTGTTTAAACTGTGCTTGGCCCTAATTGTGATAAGGGACTCACAGTTTACATTCTGAATATGCATTTGCTGTTTTGGTTCATAGTGTATTTAGTAAATGACCTCTTCTAGCACAGCAAATGTCACCTTAGTGGCTCATAAGTACTAATGTACAGCCAAAAATTGTCAGCCCTCACTCCCAATGCCACTTCACTCTTATAGTACCATGCTCGCAGCTCCATTGTTGATTCAATTTTCAGGATATAAGAATAGGTAATTATTTCAACATGTTTTAGTGTAGGCAAAAAACAGTTCAATATCTCTTTTACAATGCAAAAGGACTGTATTTGGAGATCTGGGAGATACATTATAAATATGTTATAGGCAAAGACATTTTTATCCTATTATATTCCATGCAACAAACATTTTTGGCTCAAATACATATTTTAAAAATTAATTATAATGTATTTGGTCACTATTATTGGCTTCTTTAACCTTCTTAATTTCACTGACATTTGCTCATTTAAAAAAAATACCTCACACTGTGTAAAATATAGCAAACCAATGTCATCCTTGTATTTCCTGTGCCCCCAGCTATCTGCAGTTTGAAAAGGAAACCACAAGAAGATAATGCGGTCTATTATTTTTTTTTAAAAAATGTATATTTTATGGGTTGTAAGATATTCTATTGGCACAAGTAAAGTGAATAAGGTTTATTGAGACCAATGATATAAAAGCTCAGATAGAACTTGGAGCTGCTGGTTTAAGATTTAAATGTTGTTGAAAATAAGAGAGCCTATTTTGCTCTGGTATGAACTCTGAAATAAACACTTAACACTTACATTTATAGATAACATTATTTTTACTTATTAAAAATATGCTTTATTTTTCCAATTTGACTTTTATAATTAATTAGTTTTAATCATGTAGCTTTAGCATACCCTTTCTTTCAAAATGTTTAGTGTTTTTAAACTATTAAGATCTTTGAAATTATTCTCAGCAATAACACGTTTTTAAAAATTTGCCAACTTTAAGAATTTCTAGGAAAAAATACATCCTTAAAAAGTGATTTACAACCAAAACAAAGCTTTCAACTGAAAAGATTATTTTAATAATCAATTTGGCAACCTAGGCAATACCATTCAGGACATAGGCATGGGCAAAGACTTCATGACTAAAACACAAAAAACAATTGCAGCAAAAGCTGAAATTGACAAATAAGATCTAATTAAACTGAAGAACTTCCGCACAGCAAAAGAAGCTATCATCAGTGTGAACAGGCAAGCTACAGAATGGGAGAAAATTTTTGCAATCTACTCATCTGACAAAGAGCTAATATCCAGAATCTACAAGGAACTTAAACAAATGTACAAGAAGAAAACAAACAACCTCTTCAAAAAGTGGGAGAAGGATATGAACAGACAGTTTTCAAAAGAAAACATTCATGCGGCCAACAAACATATGAAAAAAAGCTCATTATCACTGGTCGTTAGAGAAATGCAAATCAAAACTACAATGAGATACCATCTTACACCACTAGGAATGGCTATCATTAAAAAGTCAGGAAACAACAGATGCTGGAGAGGATGTACAGAAATAGGAATGCTTTTACACTGTTGGTGGGAGTGTAAATTATTTCAACCATTGTGGAAGACAATGTGGCAATTCCTCAAGGATCTAGAACCAGAAATACCATTTGACCCAGCAATCCCATTATTGAGTATATACCTAAAAAACTATAAATCATTCTACTATAAAGATAGGTGCACTCCTCTGTTTATTGCAGCACTATTCAGAAAAGCAATGACTTGGAACCAACCCAAATGTCCATCAAAACAGACTGGATAAAGAAAATATGGCACATATACACCATGGAATACTATGCAGCCATAAAAAAGATGAGTTCATGTCTTTGCAGGGACATGGATGAAGCTGAAAAGCATCATTTTCAGCAAATTAACACAGGAACAGGACACCAAACACAGCATGTTCTCACTCATAAGTGGGAGTTGAAAAATGAGGACATACGGGCACAGGGAGAGAAACATCACACACTGGGTCCTGTCGGGGGGTGGGGGACAAGGGGAGGGATAGCATTAGGAGAAATATCTAATGTAGGTGGCGGGTTTATGGGTGCAGCAAACCACTGTGGCACATGTATACCCATGTAACAAACCTGCACTTTCTACACATGTATCCCATAACTTAAAGTATAATAAAAAAGATAATTTTGATAATTAATTATGCACATCTTCATCAATTCCTAAGGAATTGATGGTCATTAAAGTGCTCAAAATGCATGCTCAAAATATGTTATATATTTATTTTTTTAAGAATCCATAAGTATATAACAACAGTTTGAAATATAATCTATGTAAAATTCATACCCTAAATTGTTCTGAAATGCATGTGGTGGCTTTGTTTATTTAATTAGTGATTACCGTATTTTGTGGCTTTACATTCTATATATGATTTTAAGCAGTGTAGCCACATTGTTGGTGTTCCAAAAAAGAAAATGTGGTGTATGGGAAACCACAGATTTATTTATTATTCAAGATTTGAGGTAGACTACTTAAAATACTATTAAAGTAGATTAGAAATATTGATTTTGAAGGTCTGCTAACAACTGCACCAAATGCATACATTATGCATGTTTACCTTGTTTATGGACGATAATCTAAGTATGCTTACTTGTAAGGGCAATAATTTGTGGTTCAATTTTAAATAACTTCTCAGTCATTAATAAGATATTACAGATACAGAATACATGTTAGCTTAAAATAGTCAATAATATGGTCAACTATGGTTAATAAAGAAAATAAGTTCAATAAATCACATTGCTGCTTAATAGATTTATTTTCTCTAGAGGCATAGCTTTATAAATAAGGAATCTAGCAATCAAAGTAAATGTCTTTGGAAAAACATAGTGTGTTTCATAGTATCTGAAGAGTTTTTTAAATTTATTTTAATTTTTTGACCTACCTAGAATACATGTAATTATATTAAAATATATGTCACTACTTAAATGTGTTAATATCCATCTGCATAATTATCTAAATCAATTGCATTTATAGATCTTATCTATACCAATTTGTATATTCTGTCAATAAGTTTCTTTTACAATATATATGATTTTATAAATATTATCTGTAGCTTCTCCCCCTCCCCACCACATAAAACAACATCACAGGATGAATTTTGAGAAAGAAAGTTATTAAAACATACATAAAAAAACAAACCTCAAATATATGGTGATTCTGTAGGTACAAGTTTTACCTAATTAAAGCATATTATTATTATTTATTTATTTTGAGACAGAGTCTTGCTCTGTCACCCAGGCTGGAGTGCAGTGGTGTGATCTCGGCTCACTGCAGCCTCTGCCTCCTGGGTTCCAGTGATTCTCCCGCCTCAGACCCCTGGGTAGCTGGGATTACAGGTGCATGTCGCCATGCCCGGCTGATTTTTTTTGTATTTTTAGTACAGACGGGGTTTCACCATGATGGCCAGGCTGGTCTTGAACTCCTGACCTCAGGTGATCCACCTGCCTTGGCCTCCCAAAGTGCTGGGATTACAGGCATGAGCCACTGTGCTCAGCCAAGGCATATTATTTAGACATACATAAATATGTATGTTTAAACCAAACTGAACTATGTTTAAACCAAACTGACCCAAACTGAAACATTGGTTCTCTGGCATCCAAAAAATGAACTTTACTTCTTATTTGGAGCAATCAGCAGTGTAGAAATACAGGACACACAAGACCCAGATATATTCTTTTGAAGAGAATATATCAGGGAGTAATATATTGATTTGCAGGCAACAGGATACTTAGAAGGCAAGACCTTCCATAAGTTTATGAGAAACTTTCTCACTTGCTTTGGTGACTTTTATAATTTGGGCAATATACTAACAAGGATGGAAATTCTTGATCTCTTCAGTAGAAAGTAAAATTTGTTTTTTATTCAAGTATACTGGATGAACAATTAAAAAGTTACACTTGTTGACTGCAAAGGACTCAGGAGCTAACAACTGTTTTCCCATGAGCATTCATTCAGAGCCTTGGAGAAATGTGTGCATTAAAAATGCCTGTAACATGTTTTGCACATTGAAGAAGGAATTTTTATAGACATACACTCCAGTACTGGGAGTTTAAAAACAAAAAGATGGGGTTTGCACCAAGGCTTTTTTGGCCGTTTGAAGATATACATTTATGAATAATAGATCAGAGATTAATAATGAGCATGATGAGCAATTTATAAGATAATTAGAAATCTTGTAGCTTCCAGAAACATTTTTATTACTCATAAAGCTACAGGAAAGTTCTACCACATGTAATTACTCATAGAGAAAATAGATAGTGATAATAATAATAAATTATTTATATAAAAATAAATTAGATAAAAATAAAGACAGGAAAAATGTTAGAGGAAATTGAAATTGCAGAATTTTGAAAAGGAGAAAATTAATGAGTTTTGTTTTATAATTTGAAAAATGAATTTGTCAGTTTTGTTTCATGAGTTCAAATTCTGATTTATTTTCTTACCACTTGCATGACTTAGAGCAAGTTTTTTCAACAGTAATGTGCATTTTTATTCTTCTGCCAAGTGAGATAATAATTTCTTAATTTGTCATTGTGATTAAATGAGATATATATTTCTCATTCTATACATTTAAAGAAAATTTAAATTTGTTGTGGCAATATATTCCTAGAATTCAAGTTTCTAATAGTCAGGATGAGTAGACACTGGCCAAAACAATGCTGTCAGAAGACAATACAATCAGAGAAGATTTATGCTAAGTAGATTTTAAATACAATTGAATTATTTAATATGAATGCAGGTAATTCATCATGGCAAAGAAACAAAAGTTTCTTTCAGACAGTAATTGAATAAAATTGTGCTAACTTCTGTTTAAAACTATCCTGGTTAGTAAAAATAAGACAATATTGGTAGATCTCTGTATTTAACCACAAAAAGCATTGTATATTCTGCTAAATACAATTATAAATAATGAGAACACCAAATTAAATAATACAGGAAAAGTACATGATATTAGCAAAGTATTATAATCCCTAAGATATGGAAGGGCTATTACATAAGCAGAAGGAGTAAAATTTAATTCGGCCATTGTATTAGTCCATTCTCACTGCTATAATGATACTACCAGAGACTAGGTTTTTTATAAAGAAATAAGGTTTAATTGACTCACAGTTCCGCTTGGCTGGTGAGGCCTCAGGAAATTTACAATTATGGTGGAAGGCAAACCGAAAGAAAGGCACATTAACATGGTGGCAAAATAGAGAGAAAGAAAGTGCCACACTTTAAAACACTCAGGTCTCATGAGAACTCACTCACTGTCATGACATCCACATGGAGGAGATTACCTTTGTAATAAAAGTACCTCCCACTGAGAGGTGACAGCGTGCTGGCAGCCCTCGCAGCCCTAGCTCACTGTCGGCTCCTCTTCAGCCTCGGTGCCCACTCTGGCCACGCATGAGGAGCCCTTCAGCCCACCGCTGCACTGTGGGACCCCCTCTCTGGGCTGGCTGAGGCCGGAGCTGGCTCCCTCTGCTTGCAGGGAGGTGTGGAGGGAGAGGCGCAGGTGGGAACCGGGGCTGTGGGTGGCGATCTCAGGCTGAGTTCCGGGTGGGCATGGGCTTGGCAGGCCCTGCACTCAGAGCAGCCGGCCGGTGCCGCCGGCCCTGTGCAGTGAGGGGCTTAGCACCTGGGCCAGCAGCTGCAGAGGGTGCGCCGGGTCCTCCAGCAGTGCTGGCCCACCAGCACTGTGCTCAAATTCTTGCCAGGCCTCAGCTGCCTCCCCACGGGGCAGGGCTCGAGACCTGCAGCCAACCATGCCCGAGCCTGCCCCCCGCCGTGGGCTCCTGCATGGCCTGAGCCTCCCTGATGAGCGCCGCCCCCTGCTTCACAGGGCCCAGTCCCATGGACAGCCCAAGGGCTGAGGAATGCAGGTGCGTGGCGCAGGACTGGCAGGCAGCTCTGCCTGCGGCCCTGATGGAGGATCCACTAGGCCAAGCCAGCTGGGCTCCTGAGTTGGGTGGAGACTTGGAGAAATTTATGTCTAGCTACAGGTTTGTAAAGACACCAATCGGCACCCTGTGTCTAGCTCAAGGTTTGTAAATGCACCAATCAGTACTCTGTCTGGCTAATCTAGTGGGGACTTGGAGAACTTTTACCTCTAGCTAGAGGATTGTCAATGCACCAATCAGCACTCTGTGTCTAGCTGAGGGATTGTAAACACACCAATCAGCACCCTGTCAAAATGGACCAATCAGCAATCTGTAAAATGGGCTAATCAGCTCTCTGTAAAATGGACCAATCAGCAGGATGTGGGTGGGGTCAGATAAGGGAATAAAAGCAGGCTGCTCGAGCCAGCAGCAGCAACTCCCTCGGGTTCCCTTCCACAGTGTGGAAGCTTTGTTGATTCGCTCTTTGCAATAAATCTTACTGCTGCTCTCTGTTTGGATCCACCCTGCCTTTAGGAGCTGTAACAATCACCGCGAAGGTCTGCAGCTTCACTCCTGAGGCCAGCGAGACCATGAACACACCTGGAGGAATGAACAGCTCTGGATGGGAGGAACAAACAACTCCAGACATGCCGCCTTAAGAGCTGTAACGCTCACCGCGAAGGTCTGCAGCTTCACTCCTGAAGCCAGCAACACCAACAAACCCCCCAGAAGGAAGAAACTCTGAACACGTCCGAACATCAGAAGGAACAAACTCCAGACACACCATTTTTAAGAACTGTAACACTCACCGCGAGGGTCCACGGCTTCATTCTTGAAGTCAGTGAGACCAAGAACCCACCAAATCCAGACACACCACCATGTCACTTCCTCAACACATGGGGATTAGAATTCGATATGAGGTTTGGGTGGGAATGCAAAGCAAAACCATATCATTCTGCCCCAGCCCCTGCCAAATCTCATGTCCTTTTTACATTTCAAACCCAATCATGTTATCCTGCATTAGTCCAATCTCACAATGCTATAAGAACATACCCGAGACTAAGTAATTTATAAAGGAAAGAGGTTTAATTGACTCACACTTCCACAGGGCTGGGTGGCCTCAGGAAACTTACAATCATGGTGGAAATAGAAGCAAACCCATCCTTTTTCACAAGGCAGCAGGAGAGAAAAGAATGAATGCTGAGTGAAGGGAAAAGCCCCTTATAAAACAATCAGATCTTGTGAGAACTCACTATCATGTGAACAGCATGGCAGAAACTGCCACTATAATTCAATTATCTCTACCTTGTCCCTCCCATTGCATTGGAAGATTTTGGGAACTATTTTACATTTAAAGATAACAATTGAGTGGGGACACAGCCAAATTGTATTATTCTACACCTGGCCCTTCCCAAATCTCATGTTCTCAAAATTCAAAGACAATCATGTCCTTCCAACCGTTCCCCCAAAGTCTTAATTCATTCCAGCATTAACTCAAAAGTCTAAGTCCAAGTCGCTTTTACATAGGAGCCTGTTAAAAATGCAAATTAGTTACTTCCTAGAAACAGTGGGGGTATAGGCGTTCAATAAATACACCCACTCCAAATGGGAGAAATTGGCCAAAAAGGAAGGGGATACAGGTCCCATGGAAGTCTGAAATCCACTGGGGCAGTCAAATGTTAAAGCTCTGAAAAGATCTCCTCTGACTCAATGTCTCACATCCAGGTCACGCTGATGCAAGAGGTGGGTTCCCATGCTGATGCAAAAGGTGGGTTCCCACATCCAGGTCATGCTGATGCAAGAGGTGGCTTCTCACAGCACTGACCCTGTGGTTTTTGGGTACAAGCCCCCTCCCAGCTGCCTTCTCAGGCTGACATTGAGTGTTTGCAGCTTTTTCTGATTCATGGTGCAAGTTATCAGTGGATCTACCATTTTGGGGTCTGGAGGGCAGTGGCCCTCTTCTCACAGCTCCACTAGGCAGTGCCCCAGTGGGCACTCTATGGGGGCTCCAACCCTATATTTCACTTCCACATGGCACTACTAGAGGATCTACATGAGTGCTCCACCCCTGCAGCTAACTTCTGCCTAGATACCCAGGTGTTTTCATACATCCTTTAGAAATCTAGGTGCAGGTTCCCAAACCTCAATTCTTCACTTATGTGCACCCATAGGCTCAACGCCATGTGGAAATTGCCAAAGTTTGGGGCTTGTACCTCTGAAACCATTGCCTGAGCTGTATATTGGCCCCTTTTAACTATGGCTGGGATGCAGGGCACCAATTCCCAAGACTGCAAAAATCAGCAAGGCCCTGGGCCTGGTCCATGAAACCATTTTTTTTCTTCTAGGTCTCCAGACTTGTGTTGGGAGGGGCTGCTGTGAAGACCTCTGACATACCCTAGAGACATTATCCCCACAGTTTTGGTGACTAACATTTGTTTCTTGTTACTCATGCAAATTTCTGCAGCTGGCTTGAATTTCTCCTTAGGAAGTGGGTTCTTATTTTGTGTCACATTGTTAGGCTTCAAAGTTTTCAAACTTTTATGCTCTGGTTCCCTTTTAAACATAAATTCCAATTCCCAACCATACCTTTGTCTATACATAAACCTGAATTCTTTTAACAGCACCCAAGTTCCCTCTTGAATGCTTTGCTGTTTAGAAGTTTCTCATGCCAGACACCCTAAATTATCTCTCTCAAGTTCAAAGTTTCACAGATCTCTAATGTAGGGGCAAAATGCCACTAGTCTCTACGCTAAAACTTAGAAAGAGTCACCTTTATTCTAGTTCTCAACAAGTTTCTCCTCCCCATCTGAGACGACTTCAGCCTGGACTTCATTGCTCATATCGCTATCAGCATTTTGGTCAAAGCCATTCAACAAGTCTCTAGGAAGTTCCAAACGTTCCCACATCTTCCTGTCTTCTTCTGATCCCTCCAAACTTCCAACCTCTGCCTGTTAACCAGTTCCAAAGTGGCTTCCACATTTTTGGGTATCCTTATAGCAGTGTCTCACTACCTGGTATCAATTTACTGTATTAGTCCTTTTTCATGATGCTATAAGAACATATCCAAGACTGAGTAATTTATAAAGGAAAGAGGCTTAACTGACTCACTCTTCTACAGGGTGGTGGAGGCCTCAGGAAACTTACAATCATGGCAGAAGGGGAAGCAAACACATCTTTCTTCACAAGATGGCAGGAGAGAGAAGAATGAGTGCCAACTAAAGGGGGAAGCCCCTTGTAAAATCATCAGATTTTGTGAGAACTCATTATCATGAGAACAGCATGGCAGAAAATGCCCCCATGATTCAATTAACTCCACCTGGTCCCTCCCACAACACATAGGGATTATGGGAACTACAATTCAAGATGAGATTTGAATGGGGACACAGACAAAGCATATTAATTCCTAACAGTCCCCAGAAGTCTTAACTCATTCCAGCATTAACTCAAAAGTCCAAGTTCAAAGTTTCATGTGAGACAAGGAAAGTCCCTTCTGCTTATAAGCCTATAAAATAAAATAAAAAAAGCCTGTTACTTTCAAGATACAATGCGGGTTCAGGCATTGGGTAAATGTGCCCATTCCTTCTGGGATAAATTTGTGAAAACAAAGGGACCATAGGTCCCATGCAAGCCTGAAACCAGGCAGGACAGTCATTAAATCTAAATGCTCCAAAATAATCTCCTCTGACACCATGTCTCACATTCACAGCATGCTGATGCAAGAGCTGAGTTCAAAAGGCCTTGGGCAGCTCTTCCCTGTGGCTCTGCAGGCTACAGCTCTTGCAGCTTCTTTCACAGGCTGACATTGACTGTGGCTTTTCCAGGTGCACGGTGCAAGCTGTTAGTGGATCTACCATTCTGGGGTCCGGAGGATGGTGCTGCTTTTCTCACAGCTCCACTAGGCAGTGCCACAGTAGGTATTCTGTGTGGGAGCTGCAACCCCACATTTCCCCTCTGCATTGCCCTAGTAGAGGTTTTCCATGAGGGTTCCACTCCTGTAGAAACTTCTGCCTGGACATCAAGTGTTTTCATACATACTCTGAAATCTAGGTGGAGGCTCCAAAGCTCAACTCTTGTCTTCTTCACACCCACAGGCCCAATACCTCAGGGAAGCCACCAAGGCTTGGGGCTTGCACCCTCTGAAGCCATGGGCTAACCTGTACCTTGGCCCGGTTTAAACACAGCTGGAGTTGTAGTGGCTTAGACAAAGGGCACTAAGTCCTGAGGCTGCACAGAGCAGGGGGGCCCTGGGCCTGGCCCATGAAATCACTGATTTCTCCTGGGTCTCTGGGCCTATGATGGAAGAGATTGCCCCAAAGGTTTCTGTCATGCCCTAGAGACATTTCCCCCATTATCTTTATTATTCATGTTTGGCTCCTCATTACTTATACAAATTTCTGCAGCAGGTTTAAATTCCTCCCCAGCAACTGGGATTTTATTTTCTACCACATGGTCTGGCTGCAAATTTGTGAAACTTTTATGCTCTGCTTCCCTTTTAAATACAAATTTCAATTTCAAGTCATCTCTTTATGAACACATATATCTATACACTTTTAGAACAATCCAGATCACCTCTTGAATGCTTTAATCCTTAGACATTTCTCCTGCCAGATACCCTAAATCATGTCTCTTAAATTCAAAATTTCATAGATCTCTAGGACAGGACCAAAATGCCACTAGTCTCTTTGCTAAAACATAGTGTGAGTGATCTTTGCTCGATTTTCCAACAAGTTCCTTATCTCCATCTGAAGCCACCTCAGCCTTGATGTCACTGTCCATATCACTATTATCATTTTGGTCAAAACCATTCAACAAGTCTCTAGGAAGTTGCAAACTTTTCCTCATTTTCCTGTCTTAAGTCCTGCTAACTGTTCCAACCTCTGCCATTTACCCAGTTCCAAAATTACTTCCATATTTTCAAGTTATCTTTATAGCAGTAACCCACTCTGTTGGTACGAATTATCTGTATTAGTCCATTCTCACAGCACTATAAAGATAATACCTGAGACCGGGTAATATATAAAGAAAGGATGTACAACTGACCCACAATTTCACATGGCTAGGGAGACCTCAGGAAATTTAGGATTCTAACAGAAGGTGAAGGGAAGCAAGGCAGGTCTTACAAGGCAGGAGGAGAGAGAGAGAGAATAAGGAAGTGCCACACTTGAAAACCATCACCTCTGATGAGAACTCACTCACTATAATGAAAAGAGCATGGAGAAAATTGTCCCCATGATTCAACTGCTTCCTTCCTGGTTCCTCCTTCAACACAGGTGAATTAAAATTTAAGATGAGATTTGGTTGGAGACACAGAGCTAAAATGTATCAGCTATGGAATATTTTCATATATGGTTCAGGGTCTACTGATTTGAGACAAGTTATTTAAGAACTTGTTTTAAGAGTACTGATAAGCCAATCAGACAAAAACTTGTTAAAGTGGAGCATTTTTGGGGGGGGTGATAGAACAATGTTCAAAGACAGAAAAGTATAAAAATGAAGGTTATTTAAAATAAAATAATATGCCTGAAACACAGAAAAAGAATGAAAGTGGTAAGAATGAACATTGGGAAAGCAGGCAGAAACATCTTGAAGGATTTTATACGATATACTAAAACATTTGAACTTCATCAAGAAGGTAATGGAAAATTTTAAGTAGAAAAAAGACAGTAATTTTTTAGGCAACCTGAATTCACTTTTGGACACGGATATGGTTTGGTTCTGTGTCCCCACCCAAATCTCATGTCAAATTGTAATCTCCACATGTTGAAGGAGGGATCTGGTGGGAGGTGATTGGATCATGGGGGTGGAGAGTGAGTGAGTTCTCACGGTATCTGATGGTTTAAAAGTGTGGCACTTCCCCCCAAATTCTCTCTCTCTCTCTTGCCTTGCCATGACATGCTTGCTTCCTCTTCACCTTCTGCCATGATTGTAAGTTTCCTGAGGCCTCCCAGTCACAATTAAACATCTGTTCTTCATAAATTACCCAGTATCAGGTGGTTATTTATAGCAGGGTGAGAACAGACTAATACACACCCGTATGCAGAAGATCTATATACAGCTACTCAATAAACAGTTTGAGCAGTCTGTAATACGTTGGGTGCGATTGAAGACATGATACTGGAAAAAATTACTCAAGAAAAGATTCTAGAGTAAGAACAGAAAAACAAACGTGAAACCCTGAAGAACTACAATACTGAAATACACAGAGCAGGAGAATGCAAAGGTGAATGAGAACAGATATTCAAAATGGTACAGGAAAAAACAAGAGAGAATTGTTTTATAATAATATGGAAAAAGAGGTTGATGAATTATGTCAAATGCTGAAGAGAGGTAAGTTAAGCAAGAACTAAGAAAAAGTCACTTCTAGAAAAAAAAATGCCAAAGTATGACGTTGAGTTAAAAATATAAAACAATAATTGTGTATACATAGGGTACTGCTATGTATTGAAAGTCTGTGTCCCTCCAAAATTTCTATGTTAAATCCTAAATCCCCCAGATGATGGTATTTGTTGGTGTGTGCTTGGGAAGTGATTGGGTCACCAGGGTAGAGCCCTCATGAATGTTATTAGTGTCATTATAGAGACACAGAAGAGGATGGTCTCTTCTCTCTCCTCCCCTATAAGGATAGGAATCGAGGGCCATCTGCAGACCAGGAAGAGTACCCTGCCCAGACGTATCTGCTGGCAACTTGATCATTCACTTCCCAGTCTCCTTAATTGTAAGGGCAAAAACAATTATCTTGTTTCAGCCACCCAGTGGATGGTATTCCATTATAGCAGCGTAAACTAAGACTGTTACAATTCCCATTTCTTAAAAAATATATATATATAAATAAAAATAAAAATAAAAATAAATAAATAAATATATATATATATATATCTGTATAAACAAACTCGATGACCTGGAAAGAAATACCACACCATATTAATACCTATGTGCAGACTATTTTATTTTTCGAAATTGTATACATTTCCCAAAACATTATTTTAGAAGGAAAAAAGAATTCATTAAATTTTCTACTTAAGGAGGCAGTATGTAAAATTGGAAAGAGCATTTAGTTTAGAATCAAACTTGCCTAAGCCCCAATACCACCTCTTCTGTTTATTAATCTTCTAGTGTTTAAAGCCAGTTGCAAAAGTATAGCAAATTATAGAATAGTTATATCTTTTTTCATGAAATAGAAATTTCATCTTATCATAATATTAATATAAATTGATATGTAGATTTTTAAAATTATTTTCTTTCTCTATTTTGTTCCATTGCACCATTGTGTAATTCTGAGCAAATAACAAATAATCAATTTAAAACTAAGCGTTAAATGAGCTTAATAAAATATTAGGGATAAATCAGCATCTCAATTAGTTTCTCACACTGTACGTTAACAAAAATGTACTGTGTATCATCATCATGTTCTCTTTAAGCAAAGTCAATATTTTGACTTTACTAAGAAGTCATTAGAGAAAATTATTAAAAAGTTATAGAAAATTATAGAAAAAATTAGAAATTATTTAAAAATAGAAAAATGTAATAGATTCCTATATTTCAAATAAAATTATTAAAAATTTAGAAAATTTATATTTATAAATTATACCAAATTATAGAAAAACATAGAATTGTAAAAAGTATAGACATTTTAATAAAATTATAGAAAATATAATTATAAAAATTACAGAAAATTTTTAAATTATTAAAAAAATTGTTGGGGCTGGCATTGGCTTGAATAATTATATTTGCAAGTGAATAAAAATGAAGCTGAGGTCTTAAGCCTTCAGGAAATTGTGATATGTTCAGTTTTTGGTCCTGAGAGTAAAGTTGTGAGTAGCATAGCATAGCCAATAGCAGGAAATCTAAAGGAAATCAAAGCTGCTGCCATGTACCACAATAGGCATAATTAAAGGAGAAAAGATAATGAACAAGTAAGTAATTTCAATAAGAGGCAAAAATATTGAGAAAATATTTTGAAGAAGTATTTTCAATAAGAGGCAAAAATAAAGAGATGACCATTGGTTTAAAGCTCTTTAAAACCCACTTCCACAACCAAGCCTCCTCTTTTCTTCCTTCCTCTCAACTTCTTGCCTTCTTCCCTTTTCATTCTCCCTTCTCTCGTCTCTAGATCTATCTACCAATCATCTGCCTAATTTGCTTTTTTTTCTTTATTTTTTTCAAGACAGAGTCTCCCTCTGTTGTTTAGGCTGGAGTGGAATGTCACAGTCTTGCCTCACTACAACCTCTGCCTCCCAAGTTAAAGTGATTCTCGTGCCTCAGCCTTCCGAGTAGCTGAGATTACAGGCATGCGCCACCAGGCCCGGCTATTTTTTGTATTTTTAGTAGAGACTGGGTTTCACCATGTTGGCCAGGCTGGTCTTGAACTCCTGGACTCAAGTGATCAACCCACGGCCTCTCAAAGTGCTGGGTTATAGTCATGAGCCCCTGTGTCCAGCCATCTGCCTAATTTCTATCTATCTGTCCCTCAACTTTTGGACTACATTTCTGTGTCATAAAATTACTTCCAGAGGTATCTTTGTTAACAACATTGCTATTTCCTAATGTTCTTACATGCACATCTTTCTGGGTGAACGGTCACAAAATTAAGAACTTGAGCAGTCCTAACCTGAGTTACTGAGGTTGCATATGCGCTACTTAGGCCAATAACTACAAATGGAAGCCTGGATCTATCTCAGCCTCTCCATTGCTTGCTGCTAAAGAGAGTAATGCTTATAAATTGCATAACACTTAGGAATGTTGTAGCTTTATATTTCAGAGGTATATTCAGAATTTATTTTGAATTCTGAATCACAATTTTAAGAGTTTGATTTTTGATATGGGAGAAAAGATGTTGGGCCAAAACACAGAAATACTGCATCTTTTCTATTATATTATATCTGAAGATGGAAACTTCTTCCTTGTGGAAAACTTGAACAAATATACAAGAGAAAGATAAACAACCTCAACACCCAGCACCCATAATCAGATTATAGTTCAATGAAAGACTGTAGAGATGAACAAAGAAATTAACAAGGAGTCAATAAATTTCAGAATCTAGGGAAAAACCAGAAACCAAAAAGTGTTGACAATTAGGTAATATTTTAGATTCAGAAATCCTGTCCAAGCCTAAATTCACTAAAGACTTTTTCATCTAAAGGTACTTTGGGAGATGTACTTCTGTGCAATGCCTTTTTCTTTGCCACATTTTGGAAGCATTATTTAGCTCTCTAATTAATTTACAAAAGAATGCAACCAATTTATATTATAATTTGCACTGATTTTTCAAGAACATATCTACTACATAGAAACGGCCAACAAGGCAATTGGCTAAAATGCACATTTTTCAGAAAAGTATATACACACACACATACATACATGTATATATAAATATATATACACACGCACACACACTTGCTGACTACAAAATAAAATTGGTCATTTAACTTTTCATGAAAGTATTAATAAAAAATTGATTATTTGGAGAAACAGTTCTGGTTGGTTTTCAACACACATAGAAAATATGATTTCACTTGCATAGTGCTATGAATTTGTGGAAAATATAAAATATGCAAAGCATATTGAATAAAGCTTTAGAATTCTGGAAAAAGTAAATTATATATTTTCTTTCCACTTCATCATTTAGAAAAGATGTTGATTGCAAATACACAATCTATAGCCTTTCCTACACAGTTAAGTTTCTAAAATATATTCCAGCTCCTTGAATCCAGCTAAATGTGTACAGGTACTTATCAAGTTAGGCAACCCATTTAATTGCAGGAATTATTTTTGTTGTTCCTGCAATCAGTGTGCAATCAGCTAGGAGAGCTAAATATAACTATTGCACTCAGTCTTTTAAGTTTCTCATTTTGGGCTTTCTTAGGTCTAACGTAGAACCAGAAAATAACATCTTTGCTAAGAAAGCACATTTAAATTAATATAATTTTAAAATATTTGTATTTCAAACATTGATTTCCTTTAACAGTTTGAAACCCAAATTCATCATTTCTTGGGATATGTTTTCACAAAATTGCTTATATAATGAATTTATTTTATGTTAATGATAAAGACGAAAGCATGTACTTGAATCAAAAGCAAAATAATACCTACCATTTGAGTGCTTACAGTGAAGAGGCTTTGCATTTATTATCCTTTCACCTAAGAGCCATAAATGGTGGCACAATTATTCTAACTCTGGAGGACCAGTGATATGAGAATAGCTAATTATACCTAAGGTCACAGAAATGGAAGAAGTAATTCTAGGTTTGGATATCAGGTTTATTTAGTTCTGAAGCTGTAGTTAAAAAGCACAGAAATTTATTACATATCCTTCATTTTCCTTAGACAGAAAGTAATAAGGTTATAACTGAAGAGCATTGGTGAAACACTTTCCTTACATGTAATACATATATTAAGTAACTATAGAAAGAGGTCAATGAAAATCAGCACTTTTGAAATCAACTCTATATTTGTGCTCATAGATGTCAAGTGGGTGATTACAAAAAAGTAACTGATTTAGATTTCCTGATATTAGGAACTCTGTTATACTTATTGGAAGATAAAATCACAGGGAAGTACAGAATTTTTCTGGCATCCTTTTGTAACAAAACCTTCCAGTACTCGTTCATGAAAACAGGAGAAATTGATTTATTTCTAGCAGATTGGCTTGGTATATATAATAATACAATCTAAGCTAGGGAGTTTGATTCTTCATGTTTTAGGAATGGATTCTACACATCAACAAAGGATACAAACATGTATTAAATGCCCACTAAATGCATACAGTTTGAAAGCTACAAATGCTGATTATATGCAAATACAGGAGAGATGTGTTCATTTCACCAGGACTCCTACTTGGATTTAGGTATGATATATACTTTAAAAATATCATATTATAAAAATAATATATAGTTTATGGGTTTTGCTAATCTAAAATAAGCTAAATCTGTTTAGCTTATTAAGCATCTCAATAAGCCTTTTCTCTTTTTGTAAACTTTGCTATTCAGTATTCCTTTTGGACCATTAGAAAAACATGTTTTTTTAAGGAGCTTTCAAAACAAAATCTTTAAAATATAATATTAATAATTGATATCAAGTATTTTGTATGATATAAAATACTTTGTTATATATAAAATGTCTTGTCATCACAAAAAAGCAAACATGTTAACAATGTCTATTTTTCCATGATAAGGGAAACCTTGAATTTACTTCTAAAATTTGATGATGTGGGGGATAATTTAGAGATGATGTGATTTTTTACTTCATTACACCAAAGCAGCTGACAGTACTTTAAAAGGAGCTGTGGGAAAACAAAATGGAACTATCAAAGACAAAGTAGGGAATGTAATATATATGTAATCTATACAGAAATCAGAAAAGCTAACTGAATATACATGTAATTGAATAATTCATTAAACTGTTAAATACACTTCAAGTCAGTTAATATTAATTTAATTTTTAAAAACTAATTTTAACCTAAAGTCATCAAGTACAACTTGTTGTAAATTCTAGGTAATTCATTATTTCAATGATTCAAAGTAGATATATTAATCGTGATTTTCAAAATTTCAGAAATCTCCTATTCATACTCTGATTAATGATTATTCTAACATACTTATTAACTATATTTACTTATTTTTAAAGAATATTAAAACATGCATAGTTATTTACTACACATTAAGTTTCAGATAACAAATATGTATTGATATTATGACAGGACGTCAAAATAAATCATTATAGACAAGTATCCTGATGTATTTATTCAGGATACATTTCTTACCTACCAAAGAAAACCATATAAATGATGTGATTTCTTCTTATGTAATAGATCTTTTCAAATATGATATGTTTCTATAAAAATTCAATGTTGGCACCCCACTGAAGATTAAGGATGAAAGTAGGAAAGGTGATCACAATGCTTAATTTATTCATGTAAGGAAGATGAGGCCTCAAAATAATAGAGGACATGTGCAGAGTGTTATGTTCAAGAAGTCACAATAGCCATCATGACCAACAAAGCTAGAGGGATAGTCAAAGGATATTGACCCTCAGAGACCTGTTAAGATGGCTAATAGAAAGTGGTATGCCAATAGGTAAAAAGAGACAAACAATTGGGGTACTTAATATCTATAATCAAAAGAAAGCAGTAAGGTAGAAGCAGAAGGATGAAAGGATGGCCTCAATGGAAATGTATGAGTCCCTCCTTGATTTTCAAATTTAAGCCAATTTACAGTTCCAAAATCCATTAGCTAAAGATGTGTCTAGGTCCCTAGGATAGAGTATCATGCCATACCACTTTAAGTATAAACTGTAAAGCTTATTCACAGACCCTTTTCAGAGGACCCTTTCCTTATGGACTTGGGGAAAGGAAATATCTGTATATTCTGAGGACTACTAAACCCAGTATGTGAGTTGACATTGGTGACTGTAGGCATAAAGTAGCACTGTGACTCCTCTGTTAGCAAGGGGATATACATGGCTAGGGAATAAAATCGAATGCTGGCTAAATTTCAGCCTATAGTAACTTCATTGAATCTGCAGACCCTTCTATCCGTTCTTTCTCTTGCTCCGAAGTGCATAATTGAGATTGACATACTTGGAAGTTTTAATCATCTCATCAAGGCCTTGGCTTCTGGAATAAGGGATGCCACAATGGGGAATGCCAATTAGAATTCTTGAAAGTTCTTCGTCTTTAGTGAATATAGTAAATCACAAATAATATTTTATCTAGAAGTGGAGGAATGACAATTCTTAGTACCATCCTTAAAGACCTAGGGTTTGCAAAGGAAAGACATCCTAATATGAAAAAGACACATGTACATGCATGTTTATAGTGGCAAAATTTAAAACTGCAAAAATATGGAACTAACTTAAATGCTCATCAGCTCGCAAGTGGATAAAGAAAATGCGCTATATGTACTGCTATATATCCGCCCAAAACTATTGAAATAAAAGAAAAAATGAAAAAATAAATGTAAAAGTAAAATAGAAAATAAAGATCTAGGATTCTTTTTATTTGAAATGGCTGACTAGAAGCAGTTAGTGTGTACCACTCTGACAGAAAGTAAAGTGCTGAGTAAATACTGACTCTTCAAGTGGATTGTCTAAGAAACCATGTTGAGATCCATCAAAGAAGTGAGGAGATGCATGGAGAATTAAGAAGAGTGAGGCTTAGCAGCCACCCACCTGGATGTGGTATAGACCTGGGAGAAGCTCCCTAATACAGGGAAATGGAGAGACAGTAAGAGCCCCTGGGGAATCTACATTTACCACAGGTACTTTTGCAATCTGGGAAGCCAGAGAATCACCTGACTCCCATAGATCTCTAGAATAAAAAACAGAGCCACCTTGAGTTTTTGCAAAGACGGTGCTCGAGACCATGGGGAGCCCCACAGTCCCACAGGTTGGTGCCAGCTGCCATAATGCTGATAGAGGCTGCAATTACAGTGCTGGGGAGTGGTCAGACTGCCCTACTTCTCCTTGCTAGACAAGGCTCTGCTGGGCTTCCAGCACAGTGACCCTACCCACGCCTGAACTCTTCAGGTGGGCACAGGACTGTATTCCCCCAGAAACTTCACATACCACGGACCATGCAAACCTCCAACTCCCACCGCCCCTGGCCAGGCAAGACTTGCCAGCTTGGACTTCTAGAACAGCAACCCCACCCCTACCTGAATGCTGTGGATGGGCAAAGCTCTGTGTTGCCCTGGGAACCACCCTGATGACAGACTGTGTAACTCCTTTTACACCCACTGTTCAGAGCCAGGTATGCCTCATTGTTTTGAGCTTCCAGCACCTTGGCACAGCTTTGTGTTCTCACAGGAAATGTCCAGACAGTGGACATGGAACTCCCCCAGCCTTGACTGCTTCCATTCAAGCAAGACATGCAGTTTGGCAGTACCTGAATGAGAGAGGTGTCTTCTTTATCAGAACTGAGTAGGATGTGATGCTGGGTTCATAAGCTGTCATGGGAGCAGGGCATACTTCACTTTGCAGGGCTGATCCAAGAAGGGGGTGGTTTGTCTGCCAGCTGTGGCCTCTGCTTGAGGAAGCCCTGTGGCCTGGAACACCTAAGAAAGGACATAGAGGCATGGACCCAGTGATCAGAAGGGCCTCCTTCAAGGCCCAAGAGTGGAACTGGTGAGAGGTCATCTTTCTTTCCCACTCCACCGCAGAGCACTATTGTGAATGTGATAAAACACAAAAAAATGGAATAGCTATGTAAGAGCCTAAATCCTCACCATCACTCTTAAGCACCATCTACTGGATATCAGCCAAAATTATAACACCAAAAATATTTTTCCATTATGCAGTGTCTGTGAAACCCAAGACAAGAATTCAGATACAAATAAAAAAATTCAGGAATTGCCACCTGAAAGCATTCAGAAATGAAACTGACTATACTCAATTTACACCACAGTTAAAGGAATATCAACCCTTTCAGATGAGAAAGAATCAGCACACAAATTCTAGCAATTGAAAAAGCCAAAGTGTCTCTTTACCTTCAGATGAAAACACTACTCCCCACCCCACACCCCTGCATAATTGTTCTTAACCACACTAAAATGACTGGGATGACAGACACAGAATCAGAATCAGAATCTAGAAAGCAAGGAAGCTCATTAAGATCCAGGAGAAAAGTAAAACCTAATCCAATGAATTTAAAGAATCCAGTAAAACAATTCAAAATATGAGAAATGAAATAACCATTTAAAGAAAGAACCAAACTGAATTCTTAAAATTGAAAAAAATCACTACAAGAATTTTATAATATAGTTGAAAGCATTAACAGCAGAATAGACCAAAATGAGGAAGAATCTCAGAGCTTGAAGTCCAGGTCTTCAAATTAAATCAATCAGACCAAAATAAAGAATAAAAAGAATTTTTAAACATAAACAAAACCTCTGAGAAATACGGAATCATGTAAACAGACTGATTCTACAACTCACTGCCATTCCTGAAAGAAAAAGAGAGAGAGAGTAAGCAACTTGTAAAGCATATTTGAAGATGTTCATAAAAAAAACCCCTCCCCAATCTTACTAGAGGGGTTGACATATAAGGTCAAGAAATACACATAATCCCCTTGAGATACTGTACAAAATAACCATACCCAAGGTGCATAGTCATCAGATTCACCAAGGTCAATGTGAAAAAATATATCTTAAATACAGCCAGAGAGAAGGGTCAGGTCATTTCTAAAGGGAACCTCATCAGAATAGCAGTGGATCTCTCAGCAGAAACCTTATAAGCCAGAAAAAATTGAGGGCCTATTTTCAGCATCCTCAAAGAATGGAAATTCTAACCAAGAATTTTTTATTCTGCCAAATAAAGCTTAATAAGTGAAGGGAAAATAAAATTCTTCTCTAACAAGCAAACACTAAGGGAATTTATTACCAACAGACCAGATTTACAAGAAATCCTCAAGGGGGTGCTAAACATGGAAATGAAAGGTCAATACCTACTACCACGAAAACACACATAAGCATATAGCCCACAGATAACATAAAGCAATTACACAATCAAGTCTACAAAACAACCAGCTACCAACATGACGGCAGGAATAAAATTTTACATATCAATACTAACCTTGAATTTAAATGGTCTAAATGCCACATTTCAAAGGCATACAGAGGGCAGGAGGATAAAGAAAACGTTCTGCTGTCTTCAAGAGATGAATCTCACATGTAACATTCAAAGGTTCAAAGTAAAATAATAATAATAATAATTTTTTAAAATGGACAAAGAACTACTATGCAAATGGAAAACAAAAAAAGAGCAGGATTCACTATTCTTATACTAGATAAAACAGACTTCAAACCAAAAACAATCAGGAAAGACCAAGAAGGAAATTATATAATGATAAAGGTTCAATTCAAAAAGAAGACTTACCTATCCTAAATATATTTTTACCCAACATTGCAGCATCCAGATTCATAAAACAAGTTCTTTTAAATCTATGACAGTATTTAGACTGCCACACAATAAGAGTAAGGAACTTAAAATTCCACTAATATATCATTAGATAGATCATTTACTCAAAAACTAGTGAAGAGATTCTATACTTAAGCTCAACACATGATCAATTAGACCTAATAAACATCTACAGAATACTCCACCCAACAATCATAGAATATACATTCTTCTCATCCTCATAATGGAACATAGTCTAAGATTGACCACATGCTCAACCGTAAAGCCAATCTCAATAAATTAAAAAAATCAAAATCATACCAAGCACAATGTGGACCACAGTGCAATAAAAATAGAAAGTGATGCCAGGAAGATCTATTAAAAAAAAAAGGAAATTAGACAACTTGCTCCTGAATAACTTGGGTAAAAAACAAAATTCAGGGAGAAATGAAAAAAACAATAGAAATTAATAAAAATAGAGACACAACTTTCCAAGTCTCTGGTATGTGGGTAAAGCAGTGTTAAGTGGAAAGCTGATAATGCTAAATACCTTTATCAAGAAGTTACAAAGATCTCAGATTAACAATTTAACATCATACCAGGAGGAACTGGATAAAAAAACAAGCAAAATAACCACAAAGTTAGCGCAAAAAAAAAAAAAAAAGAAGAAGAACTAAAAGAAATTGAGATGTAAAAATCCAAACAACTGAAATATCAATGAAGGCAAGAGTTGGTTATTTGAAAGAATAAACAAGATTGATTGAACTCCAGCTAGATTATCAAAGGAAAAAAGATAATATCCAAATAAGTACAATCAGAAATGACAAAGGTGACATTACAACTCATCCCACAGCAATATAAGAGATCCTCAAAGACTTATGAACACCTCTATGCACAAAAATTAGAAAATCTGCAGAAAAACAACTCCTGGAAACACACAACATCTCAAGATTGAAGCAGAAAGAAAGTGGAAACCTGAAAAGACCAATAAAAAGTTCCGATATCAAATCATTAATTAAACAACAACAACAACAAATCCCTGAACAAGATGGATTCATGGCAGAATTCTACTGGATGTGAAAAGAAGTGGTATCAATCTTACCAAAAATATTTCCAAAAAAATTGATGATGAGGAGCTCCTTCCGAACTTATTCTGCAAAGTCAGCATCATCCTGATACACAATCTATCAGAGACACAATGACAAAAGAAAACTTCAAGTCAGTATACTTGATGAAAATGGATGTAAAAATCCTCAAGAAGATACTAGCAAGCTGAATCTAATAACATATCACAAAGTTAATTTACCAAAAACAAGTAAGATTTATTCCTGGAATATAAAAGTTGGGTTTTAACATACTCAAATAAATACATGTGATTTATCACATAAACAGAATAAAAAACAAAAAGCACATGATCATCTCAATAGATGCAGAAAAAGCACCATAAAATCCAACATCCATTTATAACAGAAACCCCCAACAGACTGAGTATCTAAGGAACATACGTCCAAAATCATAAGAACCATCGATGACAAATCCACAGCCAATATCATACTGAACAAGAAAAAGCTGAGACCATTTCCCTTGAGAACTGGAAGGACAAGAATGCCTACTCTCACCACTGCTATTCAACATAGTACTGGATGTCCTAGCCAGAACAATCAGAGGTGAGAGAATAAAAAGGCATCTAAATAGGAAAAGAAGAAGGGAAAATATCTCTCTTAACTATTAACATAATTCTATACCTAGAAAACCCCATAGTCTTTGCCCAACTGCTCCTCGAACTGATAAATAACTTCAGTAAATTTACAGGATACAAAATCAATGTATGAAACCCAGTAGCATTTCTATATACCAATAATATCCTCAATGAGAGCTAAATCAAGAACACAAACCCATTTACAATAGCCATAAAAAAGGGAAATATCTAATAAGACACCTAACCAAGGGTGTCGAAGATCTCTACAAGGAAAACTACAAAAAATGCTGAAATAAATCCAGACAATACATATAAATGAAAAAAAAAAAACGTCCACATTCATGGATCGGAAGAATCAGTATTGTTAAAATGGCCATACTGTCCAAAGCAATTTACAGATTTAATGCTATTTCTATCAAAATACCAATGTCATTTTTTCACAGATATGGAAAAAACTATTCTAAAATTTATATGGAATCATAAAAATAGCCCGAACAACCAAAGCATTATAAGCAAAAAACCAAGCTAGAGGCATCATATTACTGAACTTCAAACTATACTATAAGGCTACAGTAACTAAATAACATGGTACAAAAATAGAAATATAAGCTAATGGAACATAATAGGGAGCCCAGAAATAAACCTGCACACCTACAATCATATGATCCTTGACAGAGTCAACAAAAACAAGCAACGGGAAAAGTCTACCATAATTAATAAATGGTGTAGAGATGACTAGCTAGCCATAGGCAGAAAAATGAAACTGGAACCCTACCTTTTGTCATGTACAAAAATTAACTCCAGGTGGACTAAAAGTTTAAATGTAAGATCACAAACTATAAGAATCCTAGAAGACAACCTAGGAAATGCCCTTCTTGATATTAGCTTTAGCAAAGAATTTATGGCTAAGTCCCCAAAAGCAATTGTAACAAAAAAAAATTTAGAAGTGGGACCTAATTAAATGAAAGAGCTTCTGTACAGCAAAAGAACTGATCAACAGAGTAAACCGACAAGTAGCAGATGGGAGAAAATATTTGCAAACTGTGCATCCTTCAAAGGCCAAGTATCTAGAATTAATAAGGAAATCAAACGAATCAACAAGCAAAAAACAAATAATCCTATTCAAAAGTGTGCAAAGAACATGCAAAGACACTTCTCAAAAGAAGACCTACCAGTGGCCAACAAACATATATGATAAAATGCTCATCATCACTAATCTTCAGAGAAACACAAATGAAAACCAGAATGAAATACAATTTCACGTCAGAATGGGAATTGTTAAAAAATCAAAAAGTAACAGATGCTGGCAAAGAAAAGAATGCTTAGATACTGTTGAAATACAAATATTGCATGTTCTCACTTACAAGTGGGAGGTAAACCTTGAGTATACAGGGATATAGAGATGGAAACAATAGGTACTGAGGAGGAGGGTGAGAAAGAAGGGGGCACAGACTGTAAAACTATTGGGTACTGTGCTCATTAACTGAGTGACAGGATTATCCATACTCCAAACCTACGCATTACATAACATATCAATGTTAAAAACATGCATATTCATCCTCTGAAACCAAAATAAAAGTTGAAAAATATAATTAGAAGTTAATGTCAATAAAGACAAATAGCTCAGCTTCAACAAAGCAGAGGGGAAGCCATGTAACTTTAAGAAAAAAATAAATCGAATGTTTGTAAAGGTGGTATTGTCAGTCAAATCACTATTTGATTCACTGTTCTGACACATGCTACAACTGAATCGACCCTAAAGAATAATTAATTATCTCCAATAAACCATATTATATAGGGGATTCTCCTTCATGTAAAAACTATCTTTCCCCCAATTGTGCCAAATTCAAATAATAACTATGTGAGAGAAAAAACATGACAGAATAATAGAAATATTTCATGAAACTAAAGAGCTTCAGTTTAAAATAAAGCTCACAGGCCTTTAGTAATGTTTTTACAGGGTGTGACATTTTGGAATCAACACTTTGCCTAAGTGTTCTCAATAAGTCTGCAAAAGCTCTTGAAATGTTTTACTGTGATGTTTCCAATACTCTTAACAATGAATGTAATATGTTCTTTTTAAAGCAAATTATAAGCCAGCGTGTAATTTCTAAATGTGTGTGTGACTATATACAATTGTGAATAAGAAGTTATGTGTTGAATATTGGTGAACAAACATACACCTTGATTTTATGTAAATCATTAATAGGGTTTTGTGTGTGTCTGTGTGTGTGTGTGTGTGTAGAGGGTGCATATAAACCACTATATATTATACAAATGGTTACTTGATCTTATAATATAGTCTGGTTAATGGCTAGAAGAAAATAAAATGTGCTTGTTTTTCTTTTTCTTTTCTTTCTTTCCTTTTTTTTTTTTTTTTTTTGAGAAAGGGTCTTGCTTTGTTGCTCATGCTGGAGTATAGTGGCACAATCATGGCTCATGGCAGTCTCAGCCTCCTGGCTCAATCAATCCTCCCACCTCTGCATCCCAAGTAGCTGGGCTACAGTCATGTGCCACCACATCTGAAAATTTAAAAAAAAATGATTTTTATAGAGACAGGGTCTCCTTGTATTGCCAAGGTTGGTCTCAAACTCCTGGGCTTAAGCAATCCTCCTGCCTCAGCCTCCAAAAGTGTTGGGATTACAAGTGTGAGCCACCATACCCAGCTGTCTTTCTATATAAAGTTATGAAGGGTATAATTTAACTTACACTAAAACATACAGTTTATTAATGTTAGAATAACTTTATATAATTTTGTATTTTAAATTATTCTTAAAACTTTTTGGATTTGTCACTTTTATTTCACTGATCATATATGAAAAGTGGTCATCTAAGAGCTTTGTCAATATAAATGTTTTCAATTTTCATAAGCTTTCTATGAAGTAGTTATTATCACTAAAGTATGAAGAAACAGGCATGCAGAGAAAGGTTAAGTAACTTGTCCAGTGTTATACTGTTTGTTAACAGCTGAGATAAGATATGAATCCCGAAAGTGTAATTCAAGAATTTGCCCTCTGGCAAAGTGAATTCATAAGTTTGTTTATTCTCAATCCTCTATACTCATAAAAGTCACCCATAAATGAAATACTAATGGAAGTAGAAAGGAGATTGTATAATTGAAATATAACTTTTAAGTGTTTGTAGAAGATAGAAAATAGATGTGATTGGGGAAGAAATTATCAACTGTAGATAGAACACAGTAAGTGTTTTCTTTCATGAGAAAACAGAAACATCTGCATTTTTTAAAATAAAAGCTAAAAGTAGGTGGAAGATCCAAAAAGAAAAAAAGAAAAAAATTGAATTTTTTAAAAAATAGGATGCTCATCAGCTACAGCAGTTGACTTCCCAGCCTGCTAATCTCATCCTCACTAATCCACTGACTGAGCAGGAAATGCTACCCATCAAAAGACAACTAACACTTTCTACAGGACCCCTGGAGTATGTTTGCATTTAAGAAGTCTGTCAAGCATGCAACCTTACACAACTTACAATGAGTGTTTTTAATATGTAAGATACTACTTTTTGATCCTGTGCATTGAAGTTAGTCATGACAGGGGCAGATTGCTTTAAGGTAAGAGAATCTGAGGGTTTTTATTGTTTGCTAAAGTGGCATTAAAGGTTTCAAGAATAAAAAGGCAACATTATTTTTCAGAGCTTTTGACATATTCATAATATTCATATACTAGAAAGAAAGAAAAATTATTCTATTGAAGAAAGCATTGCATATAAACAAATAAAAAAGTATCCTTTAGTCATTCAATTACCTGTTAATGCTAAAAAACACTACTTTTCAAGTTCTATATGAAAAATAAATCATATTCACCTTAGGATTTTAGACCCAATCACATTTCAAGGATGAGTACAAAGAGAGATATCTTGATGTATGCAATATTTCAAAAAGTTTCCCCACTTAGGTATAATCACAGAGGTGGGTTTGAGGAGAATTCAAGATATAATATAATATCCTACTGACAAAATTGGAAAGTAGAGAGTACAATTAACTTAATAAATTCAGAAAAAAATGAGAAGAAGTTTTACTAGACTGAATACTTGAAATATTTTTATTTTAACAGCAAATTTGAGTTGCCTAAGGATAGTTTTTAAATGTAACTCCATTATGTACCACAGTAAATGATATTTACATAAGCACAAACAGTGAAATTTAGTTTTTTAGAAATACTTGTATAGTCAAAACCTAGAGGACTTACACAATATTCTCATTGCAGCCTTAAATTTGTAATTAACAATACCGTTGGCAGAGGTGTCAAGAAGCTAGTGGAAATGTTATATTGTTCTAATTTTCTGATATTTCATGATAGATGATAAAAGATAACATGTATAAATTTGCTAAATAAAAAAAGAGCTGATTATTCAAATCTTGTAACCACTGAAACAGAAAATGATAATATAGCTAAGAAATCATATGGTAAGTTAGGAAATAGAAGCAGAATAGTTTAAGTTTGCAAGATTCCTCTTTATTCATATTATGGAGACAACAGATTTTGCCTAAGTATGAGAAAGATTAATTGTTGTAGAACAAGAGTTTAGGCTACCCTCTTTGACAGACTACACAAAGATGCCATGAAGAAATGAAGCGGACCAGAGACTACATGAAAGAGAAGAGAATAATTTAGTTAACAAATAAAACTAAGAATCCAGAAATATGACCCCAGTTAAATCATTCCAGCTAGTCTTCATTGATTAGAGCTATCCTAGATCAGGAGATAAAGACAAGAATGAATAAACCATCTTGGACATTCCAACCTTAGTAGATACCATGTTGAGCAGAGAGAGAAGTTATCATATAGAATTGTGAGAGATAATTTTTTTAACCTATCAAATCTGAAGGAGTTTATTAGGTATCTATAGACACCAATAGCAGAAATTTGTACCCAAAGTGGCTGCTACTAAAACAAAAGCCTATAAACATTGGCTTTAGGATTGCTTAGTGAAAAGGTGCAGTGGTTCCTTGAGAAAACTATCAGTTAAGACCTGTAGAACAGTGACAAGCTATGTTATTCAGTAAAAGAATATTTGGCAACACTGGGACTGAAGTAATGTGGAAAATAATACATACACACACACACACACACACACACACACACACACACACACACACACACATATACCTAAAGTTGTGGAATTGGCCAAGGACATTTTCAAGCAGGATATTGAAAGTTCAACTTTCATATGATAAGAGGAAAGATAATATATAAATAGAAAGAGATTAAGTATAGAAGGAACTGTTTAGTTTTCAAACGTACCTAAAAGAAACATTTTCAACACAGGACTTGCAAAGTTGGGAAATACAAATATCTGTTAATTGCAAACTTTTCTAAAGAACAAAAGATTATAAAAAGAAATACAAACTTGGGGCAAGACACATTACAAGGTGCTACAAGCAAAACAGCTTTATGGTCAAGATTATATAAGTGGTGTAAATGAAAGACCCTTTTTGAAGAGGATGCTTCACAGGTTTTTCTAAGGTAGTAGCAGTACTTCTAAGAATCTTAAAGTCTTGCCTTGTAAACCTTGTAAGAGAGAGAGGAGACCTCTACAGTCTCAAAGATTTTGTCCCACAGCATACTGACTCATGAGTGGAGATAGAGGAGGGCCTGTCTGGAAGAGATTTGAACTGTGGCTTTTTTTTTCTCATGTAAAACTATAAATTGATGTACAGGAACCCATAATGTTTCTAAGGAAATTACATTAACATGGACTGAAAATATCAGTAACTTATAAAGCAAAGAAGAGACCTTTGAACTCTCAACTACCAATGGGTAGTAATCCTAATTTCTGAGAAATCTGAGAAAGCTACTCAAACATAAAAAATAAATTATGTCTAATGGGAAAGAAATGATTATTCAGAGGATGTAGCCAAGATAGCAGAAGAATGAACATAAGAGACACAGAATTATTTCTAGGAAGCAGAACAACGCCTTAATCCAGAAACTGGAGATATATTTCAAACTGCCTTTCTAGATCTTTAATAGTCCAGTGACTGACATGTCCATTCATTTTCACCCTGTATGAATGGACTTACTTTCAAGTCCTTGCCTAAAAATCGTATATTGGAGGAGAAGAGTGTGTTCAAATATCTTGTATTTTAATCCATAGGTCTTCAAATAATGAGAAGCCATAAATGAGGAGTCTCATCTGTACCTGGCCATAATTTCTATGACAAGACCTAGGAATTTCAGCTTAACCATCATGTCATATAATCCTGAGATCTTTGAAGTTTTGGAAAGGGTGAGTATATTTTGCATATAAGAAAAATAAAAATACTTTGTGACCAAAGGTTAGAATGTGTTTGAGTTAGAAATGTCATTATTGCATTGTCATTTTCATCATTTAGATATGGTGCTTATTCGTTCACACTTTTGAGTCTGGTATGCCTGAACCCTGCCTTTGACTAATCAAATATTTCAATTCCAGGTCTAGCCTATAATAGGATAAAACATTTCAACTTTCTTGTGAACCTTGAGCCTCTGTGGAAAATATGTGGCTACTGTATTGGTCTATTTTCTATTGCTGTAACAGAATACTACAAGGTGGGCAATTTATAGAGAAAATAAGTTTATTTAGTTCACAGTTCTGGAGTCTGGGGAATCCAAGAGCATGGCACTGGAGCCTTCCTGCTGCATTATGACATGGCAGGAGATATTACATTGCAAGACAAAGCAAGTGTGCTAGCTCAGATCCCTTTTTTTCTTCATATAAAGCCACCAATCCCATTATAAGGGCCCCACCTTGATGATCATAGACAATACTAATTATCTCCTAAGGGTGCCACCTCCAAACAAGATATGAGTTTGGTGATTAAGTTTTCAACACATGAAATTCAGGGGGACACATTCAAACCATAGCAACTAAGCTGTTACAGAAAATATGTGAAGATACTTCCTGGAAATAAAAAGGCCTGTATACTACATGGAAAAAACTGAGTAATTCAGCCACTAGGGAGAACTAAAAATCAAAATATGATCCTGAGTCATCCCATCCAGACCCCAACAAGTAGAGCTACCCTAGCTAAAGTGCCATATATATGAATGAAGACATCATCTTGGACACTCAGCCCTAGCAGATATTATAGAGCAGAGAGGAGCTCTCTTCTACGTGGCCTGTCCAAATCTTCAATCAAGACATTTATAAAAAATAATTCAATGGTTGCTATTCAAACCTAAGTTTGGGTTAATATAGCATCAATAAATAACCAAAACACCTACAGTATTTAAATATATGTCATTTTATAAATATTAAAATTTTTGAAATTTGAGAATGTTAGAGGTTAGCAGAAAGGGTAAGATACAAAGGTTGTTACTTTTAATTTTATTTTATATATACTTTGACTTTTTTATGCTAATGTGCTTTACTTTTATTTTTGTTAAAAATGAAATAAACTTACCTATATTTATTCAGAGATGTGCCAATAACAAAGTGAAGATAATTAACAAAAGTAGACTAAAATGTGTTGTTCCTTTTCCTCCACTCAAAATACTGGAAAAAAACAAGTAGAAGGAAGCAGAGTGCTAACAAGTCAAGCCTGGTCTTGTAATATGCACTTACAAACTTCTCAATGTAGCCTACTGAAATAAAAATTATCAATAGGGAATTAATTTTACTCAACAAACAGACAGAAAATATGACAAATAATAATATTAACTGTTAATATGCTACAGAAAAACTGATGTTCATTATTTAAACAGGCATATACTTTGACCCAATAATTCCAGCCTCAATGTATCTGATGTTGTTATTCACTATTCACAAATATTCTCTTTCTCCTCTTTAAAGGCATATGGCAAAATTCCTTTTCATCATCTCTTTTGATGATAGGTGTTACCAAATAAATTTCACTTCTAAGTGAAGTTTCAAGAGCTTAGGTATAATGTATTACATTCTTTCTTTCTCAGATCAGTTCTCATCATTGTCTCAGATGGTGTCTTTTGCAATACCTGACTGAATATTGAAGTTATTTATAAGAATAAGCAGCAATGCTTCATGCTGACCAAAGAGTGTGAGCTACAAATTAATCCTTATGGTTTACACAGGGAATTTCAAATTTCTTTCTTACTGTAGCTTAACCTCATCAAACCTGATTTAGAAATTCTGATCTTATAGAAAATTAAAATATGAGAATAAACAGATATACAATTCTTTATTTCTGTTTATAATTAACAGAAAAAAACATAATAACCTGAATGTCCTCCCATTGGAAAATATTAAAGCCAAAAATGTTATATAAGTGTCTAGTACATACATAACTTTTAAGTTACAGCTTAGAAAATAATGTATTGAGATTTAGAAGACAATGTACATGAATTATGTGTAAAGTATATAAATACTTAAAATGAAACAAAAATACTAGTTGTTATATGTACCCAGGTATATGTACTTAAAACCAGAAAGCAAGGTTTGTAAGAAATAAAATTTTAGGTAGAAATAAAAGACATATTTATCTCTATTATTGATCATTTAACCTACTGTTTGTATTGATCCTGTGTAATTAAAATAAAAAAGTAGATGCAGTAGGACATATCAAAAGCTACCATTTTAAATTAATCAATACATACATAAAAATTATACAGGTTTGTATTATGTAGTTTCAAAGAGAGAGAGAGAATTGGAAAGCATTTAATGGAAGTGCATCTAGAATAATCAAATAATTGTAATGTTGGAGGTAGGAAAATGGAGTTTGCATTTAAGGTACAAAATGGACAATAAATATATAGTAATATTTAGAAATTATTGGATAGTCTATATTGAGTGGGATACAGTATCTGTAAAGATGAAATTCAAAAACTGGTGTAACACTGTAAAAGATTTATAGTGAAAGCTTTATTCTAAATTGATGAAGGATTTTACATAATCAGAGCTATTTTCAGAAAATATTGCTGAAGGTTAATCAAAATAAAGAAATACAAAAGGTAGAAAGACATGCTATGAGATTAATTATAATGGTTTTGGTGAAAGTTAGAGATTTGAACCATAGATGTGTCTATGGGAATGCACTTTATCCAAAGAATATCTAAGATACCAATCGCAGATCAAAATTTGTTTGATTTAGAATTTTTTCAGAAAAGAAGCTAAGATTCATAGGGGAAAGAAAAAATGCTGCTTTATACTAATCATAGTTTACATTCAAATGTTAAGTTATCTTAACCTTTCTGAAACAGATTTATTTTTATTTCTATTATGATGAGAAAATATCTTACTAGTGACATATCAGAAATATGATATGACTATATGAAACTTTAGGAATACTACAGAAAAACCTGTTTGGGTTGTAGCAGAAAGAATTAATGGCTACCTCTGTGTTTCTTCTTCTAAATCAAAGGCAATTTAATTCCTCTATATGAAAATGGTCTCAGCAGAATACACTCTCTTCTTGAACCACTAACTCTGTTTTAAAATATTTTTGAATGGACTCATCTACTTGTATTAAATTATATACTTAGATTTGGCATTGGTACTTTATCCACTAGTATTTTAACTTACATAGGAGATATTGCGCAGCACTATCAATATTTCTTTGATTCAATCTGTCAGCTTAACATTTATGAAATTGATCACAAATTCAATTCCACCTCACTCCATATTTTTTCTTAGGTATTCATTCACATTCAATTATTCGGCTATGTGTGTCTTTCTAATAACTTTTTTTTTTTTTTTGGAGACGGAGTTTTGCTTTGCTGTTATTGCCCAGGCCGGAGTGCAATGGCGTGATCTCTGCTCACGGCAACCTCCGCCTCCTGGGTTCAAGCGATTTTCCTGCCTCAGCCTCCTGAGTAGGTGGGATTACAGGCCTGTGCCACCACGCCCGGCTAATTTTGTATTTTTTAGTAGAGATGCAGTTTCTCCATGTTGGTCAGGCTGGTCTCGAACTTCCGACCTCAGGTAATCTGTCCGCCTCGGCCTCCCAAAGTGCTGGGATTACAGGCGTGAGCAACCATGCCCCGCCTTACTAATAACTTCTATAGAAGTGTTCCATCCTTCAAAATTTTTGCTGGTTAAAATAAAATAAGACAGTGCTGTTCTATTGAGCATTTCAAATGTATCCACAGTATGCATGTTACTTGATTCATATTCAAAAGCTCGTATTTTCAAAAATGAAATAAAAAATGTGTTCTAGTAAAATAATATATTTTTTTTACCTAACTCTTTTCAGCTAACAGGCATATTCTATGTTACAAATACAATCTTTAGTTAAAAATCTAGTTGTATATTTCTTCATAGCATTGTGAAAGCAATATTAACTTATTTTGCATGTGCTTTTAGTACTGTGAAAGGAGGTGTGGGCATTAGAAACTATTTGCTCACACACACAAAAAAGAAAGAAATGTTACATTTTGTCTGTTCGTGCAATAAATTCTTAACCATGTCTCTCACTGGTGTGAGCATGGTGAGGGAGAATAAATTAAAGTAATTTTAACATAGGTTTTGGTTTGCAAAAATCTCTGGGCCTTCCCAAGTATTCTGCAATTAAGATCTCTACACAGTACTTCATTCAGCCAATTAAAAAGTGACCTACATAAAAAATGCATTGGGGACAAATCAATGATCAAAACATCAAACTAAACTTTCTTGTCATTCAATAAGTAGGAAGTAGAGGGATTAGAATGTGTCTGCGGAGTAAAAGATGACTTTTATGAATTTCTATTTCACCACTAGATATTAGTGATTTAATTCTCAGAAAGAAACAATGCTTTAGCTTTTTTTTTTTTTTTTTTTCAGATAGTATCTCTGTCACTCAGGCTGGAGCACAGTGGTGTGAACATGGTTCACTGCATCCTTCAGCCTCCCAGGCTCAAGTGATCCCCCTACATCAGCCTTCCAAGTAGCTGGAACAACAGGCATACACCACTACACCAGGCTAAATATTTTTTAAATTTTTGTAAGAGATGAAGAATCATCATGTTTCCCAGGCTCGTCTTAAACTCCTGAGCTCAAGTGATCCCTCGACTTCAGTCTCTCAAGGTGCTAGGATTACAGGCATGAGCCACCACAACTGGCATGTTGTTCTTTATTTTATTTTTGATTGGAAAAATTCTTGGAATCTAGGATGCATTTCTGAATGAGTCACTGTGACTTCTTTGACAGTTGGGTCATACATTATGTCATCTGATTATACAATTTTTCTAGTAATATTAATAATTCATTTTTTTGTATAGGTTTTAAATAAAATGGTTAACAGTAAAAATTTTCTTATGTAAAAGTATTTCCTATATTTTTGTAAGAACATTCTCATTATCTCAAATATATGATCAATATTTTCGAAATAATACTGAGCCCCCAATTTTCTATGGTTAAAATATTCAAAGGCCAATTATTTGTTGTTTAGTAATTGATTAAAGGTCATTTTCTAAGAGATGAGAAATTACTGCTAAATTTGCTGCCAAACCATAAAGCAGAGGTTTTGGTTTTGACATTTGAAATCTTAAGCACTTAGGTGAAAATAAACACATGTAATACTATTTTGCAAAATAACTATTTAAACCATTTTACTCTGTATTAAATTTGATAAACTAACACTTGATAAATAAAAGAAAAATGATGTCACAAAAATGGCAGAGGAGAAGCAATGTGATTTCACTCTTCTTCATAGGAAACCAGAAACAAATATCCAGCACTGAGATTATCATCAGCTGTGATGGTTAATAATGAGTGTCAGCTTGATTAGATTGAAGGATACAAAGTATTGTTCCTGGGTGTGTCTGTGAGGGTATTGCCAAAGGAGATTAACATATGAATCAGTGGGCTGCGAAAGACAGACCCACCCTTGATCTGGGTGGGAACAATCTAATCAGCTGCCAGCATGGCTCCAATATAAACAGGCAGAAAAATGTGAAAAGAGAGACTGGCCTAGCGTGCCAGCCTACATCCTCTTCCCATGCTGGATGCTTCCTGCCTTCAAACATCTGACTCCAAGTTCTTCAGTTTTGGAACTCAGACTGGCTCTGCTTGCTCTTCAGCCAGCAGATGGCCTACTGTGGGACCTTGTGATCATGTGAGTTAATACTTACTACACTTCTCTTCATATATATATGTGTGTGTGTGTGTTTGTGTGTGTGTGTGTGTTCAGTTAGTTCTGTCCCTCTAGAAAACTCTGGCTAACACACCAGAAATATCCCAGAAGTTAAATTTGAGGCTGAAACAATCCCTACAGCCAAAGAGAAGTGAAAATCTCTGAGCAGGCAGTAAGAAAGTAAGACTTTTTAATGCATCAAGTCCCACCAACAATATACCAGGCACCACATGTGGAAAACTTCCATCAGACTCATGGTGTCCACATTGGAAAAAATAACATAAAGCCAGACACTCAGCTTTCCCAGCATGTTGTGTTTTCTTGCCGGAAAATCATTCCTGTCTCAACCCATGGGAAGCATAGCATCACAAGTGCCTGTAGGGAGAAAAAGTACTGGGAGGCAGAGTGAGATACAAAGGGAGGTGAACTAGCAATCCCAGCCTGCAAAGCTCTGCTGTTTATCTCAGCCAAAGAAGATGCCAAATCTGAGTGGCTATTTATCAGCACCACATTGTAGAAGGCATGCTCCATGAATCTTCTGAACACAAACTTTTAGCCAGGTTTTCCATACAGTTTGGGTATCCCTTTTGGGACCTGTCACATCCAATATAAGCAATGCTCCAAACCTATGCAAAAGCTGAGACAAATCCCATCTCAATGCACCAGAATGAAGGCAGCAATCTAGAATAAAGTGTACTCAACAGGCACATTACAAAGAACCACTATGCAAACATACCCTAGAAAGACCAAAACAAGACAAGTCAGCGAAGACTGGAATAATCTTTAAATGCAAAACCATACCTGCATGCTCACCAGAAACAACAGCAAGCAGGAAAACATAATCTTGCCAAAGGGACAAAGCAAGGAGCCAATGACTGGCCCTAATGAGATGAGGAAGTTTAAATTCGAAAAAAATTGCAAACAGCAGTTCTAAGGAAACTCACTGAAGTTCAAGATAATACAAAAAGAAATACAGAAGCTTATCAAAAAATGTATAAGAGATTGAAATAATTTTTAAAAAGAATTTTTAAATTCTTAAAATTTTAAAAATTCTGGAACTGAGAAATTTTTTTTCAATTTTCAAAATTTTTATTTTATTGTGGTAAGCGCTACATACCATAAAATTTACCATTTTAACCATTTTAAATTGTCATTATGTTCAGTGGCATAAGCACGTTCACATTTTGTGCAACCATCACCACCGTCCATTTCTGTAACCAGGCATCTTAACTTCAAAATGCATTTTAAAACTTTGATTGCCTTTCTGTTTTTTTTTTTTTAATTATACTTTAAGTTCTAGGGTACATGTGCACAAAGTGCAGGTTTGTTACATATGTATACATGTGCCATGTTGGTGTGCTGCACCCATTAACTTGTCATTTACATTAGGTATATCTCCTAATGCTATCCCTCCCCCTTCCCCCACCCCACAAAAGGCCCCAGTGTGTGATGTTCCCCTTCCTGTGTCCAAGTGTTCTCATTGTTCAATTCCCACCCATGAGTGAAAACATGAAGTGTTTTTTTTTTTTTGTTCTTGTGATAGTTTGCTGAGAATGATGGTTTCCAGCTTCATCCATGTCCCTACAAAGGACATGAACTCATCCTTTTTTATGGCTGCATAGTATTCCATGGTGTATATGTGACACATTTTCTTAATCCAGTCCATCATTGTTGGACATTTGGGTTGGTTCGAAGTCTTTGCTATTGTTAATAGTGCCACAATAAACATGCATGTGCATGTGTCTTTATAGTAGCATGATTTATAATCTTTTGGGTATATACCCAGTAATGGGATGGCTGAGTCAAATGGTATTTCTAGTTCTAGATCCTTGAGGAATTGCCACACTGTCTTCCACAATAGTCGAACTAATTTACAGTCCCACCAACAGTGTAAAAGTGTTCCTATTTCTCCACATCCTCTCCAGCACCTGTTATTTCCTGACTTTTTAATGATTGCCATTCAAACTGGTGTAAGATGGTATCTCATTTCTAAACTAAAAAGTGTATGAGATGCTCTCAAGAGCAGAATGGATCAAGCAGAACAAAAATCAGTTAGCTCAACAACACGTTATTTAAAAATACGGAGTCCAGAAAAATAAAATAAAATAAAATAAATAAAAAATATTGAGGAATACTTATAAAATCTAGAAAATAACCTCAAAAAAGTCAATCTAAGAGTCACTGGCATTTAAGAGAGAGCTGAGAAAGAGCAAGAAGTACAAAGTTTATTAAAAGAAATACTAACAAAAAAGTTTCCAAACATACAGAAAGATAGAAATATCCAAGAAAAGGAAGGTCAGAGATCACTAAGCAGATACAACCCACATAAGACTACTACTCCAAATTATACAATAATCAAGCTCTCAAAGGTCAAGGACAAAAATAGGATCCTAAAAGCAATAAAGAAAAAAGAGGAAAATAACGTTAAAGGACCTCTGATGCTTCTGGCAACAGACTTCTCAGTAGAAACCATACCAGCCAGGAGAAATATATTCAAAGTGGTAAAGAAAAGTGACTTCCAAAGGAGAATACAGTACATAAAAAAGCTATCCTTTAAACATGAGAAACAAAAATTTTCACAGACCACCCCCCCAAAAAAAATAAAATTCTGAGGAAACTTATTACCACTAGACTAGACCCATCTTACAAGAAATGCTAAAGAGATTTCTTCAATCTGAAAAACAACAACAACAACAACAACAAAAACTAACATGCAAAAAAAAAAAAAATGTACTAGTAAAAGTTAGGACACAGACAACTTCAGAATAATCTATAACATTAAATGTGATATGTAACCCACTAACATATCTAATATGAAGACTAAAAGACAAATAAAAACAATAATAAATATATCAACTTGTTAAGAGATAGGCAATATAAAAAATATAAAAAATGTAAATTAAGACAACAAAACATCAAAATGTGTGCTTTTAGTAAGACTCATAGTTACAACAAAGCTAAAACCTACAACAGATACACAAAAAATAAAAGCAATAATTTAAAACATACCATCAGAAAAAATCACTTAACCACAAAGGAATACAGTAAGAAAAAAACAAAAAAGATGAGTTATAAAACAAACAGAAAACAAGCAACAAAATGAGAGTAGTATGTTTTTACATGTCAATAATAACATTAAATGGAAATGGTCTAAATTCTCCAATTAGAAGAGAGACATTTAAAAAACAATGACACAATTATATGCTGCCTGCAATGAACTCACTTCACTTATACAGATATACATAGACTAAAACTTAAGAGGTAGAAAAAGATATTCCATGAAAATGCACCCATATATTCAAAACAAACATTAATAGATCTAAAGGGAGAGATACACTGCAATGAAATAATGATAGGGAATTTCAACACCCCACTTTCAGTAATAGGAAGCTCATCTAGATAGAAATTCAGCAATAAATATTGTAGTTAAGCCATACTCTACACCAAATGGATGTAACTAAGATTTATAGAACATTTAATTAAACTGCTACAGAATACAAATACTTTCCATAAGCACATGAAACATTCTTCAGGATAGACTGTAAGACCACAAAACAAATTTTAATTAATTCAAAAAACTCAAAATCATATTAAGTATTTTATCTAACAACAATGGGATGCAATTAACAATCAATAGTAAGAAACTGTGGAAACTACACAAACACATGCAAATTAAACAACATGGACCCGAATAATGAATGGGTCAATTAAGAAATTAAGAGAGAAACTTAAAAATTTCTTGATAGAAATGAAAATGGAAATACAACATACCAAAAATCTATGGGATACAACAAAAGGAATACTAACAGGGAAATTTATAGCAATAAATGCCTACATCATAAAAGTAGAAAATGTTCAAATAAACAACTTAATGGTGCACCTCAAGAAACTATAAAAGCAAGAACAAAACAATGCTAAAATTAATCGAAGGAAATAAATAATAAAGATCAGACTAAACATATAGAAAATCAAGACTAAAAATATTAAAAGATCAATAAAACAAAATTTATTGTTTGAAAGATAAACACAATCAAGAAACTTTTGGGTAAACTAAGAATAAAAGAGAAGACACAAATTAATAAAATCAGAAAGGTAAAAAGAGACATAGCAACTGATACCCCAGATATTAAAAGAAAATAAAATCACAGATACTATTATAAATAAATATATTCAACAAATTGTGAAATCTTGAAGAAATGGATAAAGCTTTAGACACATGAAACATACCAAGATAAAACCATGGAGAAATAGAAAACCCAAACAGAACAATGAGTAACAAAATAGAAGCAGTAATAAAAGTTTCCTAACAACAACATGAAGAAACCCAGGACCTGATGGCTTCAGTGCTGAATTCTATCAAACATTTAAAAAGAACTAATACCAATTCTACTCAAACTCTTCAAAAACATTAAAAGACCATTTAACATGATTCACCGCAAGGAAGCTATGATGGTTTAACATATGCAAATCAATAAATGTAATATATCACATTAACAGAACCAAGGGACCAAACTATATGATTTCAATAGATGCCGTAAAAGCATTTAATGGAAATAAACATTTCTTCAGGATTAAAACGGCTGTAGTATAGAAGGAACATACCTCAAAATGATAAAGGCAATATATCTGCAGCTACCATCTTACTGAATGGAGAAAAATTTAAAGCATTTCCTCTTATATCTTAGAAAAAGAAAAATGAAATGAATGCCCACTTTCACCACTTTTATTCAACATAATCTTGGAAGTCCTGGCCAGGACACTTAGGCAAGTGAAAGAAATAAAGGGCACTCAAATTGTAAAGAAAAAATTAAGATTATTCTTTTTTACTCATAACGCCATAGTATATTTGGAAAAACCTAGACTCCACCAAAAATCTCTTAGAACTGATAAATGAATTCAGTAAATTTTACTATACAAAGTCAACATACAAAAGCTAGTAGCATTTATATATGCTATCTGTGAACAATCTGAAAATAATTTAAAACACAATCACATTTACAATATCTAAAAAAATATAAACTATCTATGAATACATTTAACCAAATAAGCAAAATATTTCTACAAGGAAACTATAACACACTGATAAGATAAATTGAAACACACACACACACACACACACACACAAAGATAGCCCATGCTAATGTATTGGAAAGTTAATATTATTAAAGTCTCTATTGTATCCAAAGCAATCTACAGAGTCAATAAAATCACTATCAAAATACCAGTGACTTTTTTTATAGAAATAGAAAAAACAATCAAAAAATTTGTATAGAACCTTAAAGGAATCCAAATGGCCAAGGTAATAATGTACAAAAAGAACAAAGCTTGAGGTATTCCATTACCTGACTTCAAAATATGTTACAAAGCCATACCAGCCAAAACAGCATGGTACCTGCATAAAAACAGACACATAGACCAATGGAATAAAATGGAAACTCCAGAAATAAATCTATCTATGTATATATATATATATTAAACTCATTTTCAACAAAAGCATCAAAAACATACTGGTTGAAAGGACAGTTTCATCAATAAATGGTGCTGGGGAAACCAGATATTAATTTTCAGAAGAATGAAGCTAGACCATATTTCTTACCTTACACAAAAATCAAATCAAAATGGATTACAGGCTTAAATATTGGACCTGCAACTATGAAACTACTGGAAGAAAATATTGGGAAAATGCTTCAGGATATTGGGGTGGGCAAATATTTTTGGGGTAAATTACATGCAACAAATGTAGAAATAGACAAATATGATTAAGTTTAAAAGTTTCTGCATAGCCAAAAAAAAAAATCTGCAAAATGAGGAGTCAACCTATATAATGAGCACAAATACTTATAGACTATTCATCAAATAAGAGATTAATACCCGAAGTATACAAAGATCTCAAACAACACATAGCAAAAAAAAAATATAAATCCAATTAAAATGGGCAAAATATCTAGGCACTTCTCAAAAGAAGACATACGAATGACCAGAGCATGCAAGGAAAAATGTTCACCACTAACATCAGGGAAATAGAAATAAAAACTACAGTGAATATCACCTTACCTCAGTTAGAATGGCTATTACACAACAAACAAACAAAACAACAACAACAAAAAACATAATAGATGCTGCAGAGGATGGGAAGAAAGTAGAACTCTTGTATACTACCAATAGAAATGTAAACTAGTACAGCCACTTTGGAAAACAGTATAAAGGTCCCCCCAAAAAACTAAAAATAGAACTATGATGTTGTCTAGCAATCCCACTGCTGAGTATATAACCAAAAAAAAGAAATCAGTATATCAATGGGATGTTTGCACTCCCATATTGTTGCAATATTCAAAATAGCCATGCTATGGAATCAACCTAAGTGTCTGCCAAGTCTGTCCCACAGACTCTAGCCGAGCAATGGATGTAAGAAGTACACTGACACAGGTATTTTGCCCGACAGCGTGGCTAGGGGCCCACAATGTCTTCGAACTGCCAGCAAGAGTGCCACCCCCATAACCCAGCCCTGCTCACATTTATTTAGTACAGATTTAATTACAAAGGCTTGAAGCAAACACAATTTGTGGGTAATAAACATTGTCGACCCCCCAAATAAAGAGCTCACAGGAATGATCAAAAGTTGGTTTCTGGAGACAGGAGTAAACAAATTTATCTAGACAAATTCCTTTACATTCCCTTGTTATCTGCCCTTTGCTTTTAGCCTCCAGATAAGAGAATTTGGCTGCCTTCAGCCATAATTCTCTCCCGAAGCTTTTGCCAAACCTCCTGGCCTTCCAGTAAGGTTTGCACCTTTCCCTATAACTTTTTCTTATAACGTTTCCCACCACCCTGACCAATGTCCTACATCTCCCCCTTTTCTGTTTTTTGCATCAGGTTTTATTGATTGAAGAGTACAGATGTGTGCAGCAACAGGTTTGTCAGGTGCTGCTGTTATAACTCGTGTTCTGGCTCTGTATCCTGGAATTATTAAATAACACAAGACAAACATGAGTATAATCAGTAACACTCTTTTCCAATCAAGGAGTGACCCCCAGGAGTAGGGGTCTATCCAGGAGAGACGTCCTCCCACATTCTTCCATATGGCTATTTGTTGGGCATTAGATCTATGGCATTTAGGGATTCTAGAATTTTAAGTTGCTTTAAGTCTGTGGTTAAATTACCATGTAAGATTCCCCAAAGGTATTGTTTCACCTCATCCCTACTATGTATTGATTGATTCCAAGGTAGAGAAGTGACACAGATATGCTTATGCTCCTGGTCACAGTTTAATTGCTGTTGGAATATCAGTGCATCTTGCTGCTCCCCTACATATTCTAAGGCAGCCTCAAGGGCTTACAAATGTGCAATAATTTTTTTATCTATACCCTGCTGTAAGAGAAGTTCATTAGACACATCTCTGGCCAAGTTGTCTACAAAGGTAGCTGTTCGTACTGATTCAGTAATAGAGGCCACAGCAACACTAGCCGTTGCTATGATGACTATAGCTGAGACTATAAAGGCTATAAGTGTGCCTATGCATCTTTTGTGTCTGACCTGGGACAGGCACGTTCTAAGGTGGCAAGAGCAGAAGAGCCTTGCCAATCGCATGTCAAATTGACTGGAAGGAATGTCTCAGATTGTCTCCTTAATTCCATGGCACTAGTAACACTTAAATTACATATATTGTAATTAGGGATACATGAGGCAAACCAAGCCTGTTGCACTCAGGTCATAAATATGGAGTTGTGGGGTGTAATAGAAATATTCGTTCCCATAAGGAAGACATAAGGATGGGTAGTGCAAATCAGGCACTGACCTATGTGATTATGAAAAACAGTCATAGTATAGTTGCTACTGGCTGGAATTATGATATGTCCCATGCGAGGTGTTAAGGGAGGTGCTAAGATGTCCTAGGCGCCATAAAGTGTCTTGGGGTGGCATGGACTCTACGTGGGGTCTGGGATATCCCATTCACAAATCACAGGGGAATGGGATGTGGCTATTAGACTGATTGATGCCACGATGGATGCAGACATGAGTATGGCCGCCCTGCAAATGGCAGTGGGGGCTACAGTCTAAGATGTTATAATTGCCTGACTAGAGGCTATGGGCTCGTCCCCCATGACAGACCTTCCAGCCAAAGTGGAACCCATTACTTTCCTGGCTATGCTCTTTAGCACAGGAGGGAATGTTTGAGAAAGTGGCATTGGTTGTGTTGACCAGTTTGAAGCTACCTGCAAACAAGAATTTTAAGGGATTTCCTTTTCAATGATGTAGCCACAACTGTGTTTGGGCAGGTACACATAAGGGTTAGAACTTTTATAACTTACACACAGTGGGAGGATGGTAGAGTGATATATAGTGTTAGCTGGTACCTTAGTCCAATGTGTGCCATTAATGAGGGACCCCACTGGGGGTAAGTCAATCTCTCCTAGCCAAGCAGTTACATTGTTATAGGCTGGGAAGGGGGTGTCTGATCAAGTAACAGGGCAGAGGAAAGGCAGATCTAACAGATGAGCCCAATAGAGTGTAGCAGGTACGTGTTGCAGGCAAGAACAGAGCATAAAAATGATCAATACCCTATGTGAGATGCAATGTACAACAGAGAGCATAGCAAGGAACAAAATATCTGGAGTGAATGGTGTCTGTCCGGAGCAGAATTCTCTCAGTCTCCTGAGTTGTGTTCTTCAGCATCACCCAGGTAATGTCCGAGGCTTGTGTTGTCTCAAAAAGCTGCATTGTCCAGGGCTGCAGGTCTTGCAGGGTCATTTCCTATATTTCTAGTACCAGGTTGGATCCTGGTCATGCCATGGTATGGTTTGATTCATCATGCTAGAATCCAGAAAAGACCTGAGGGGGTGTGAACACAAGCATATCCTCTTCCCCATGTTAGCAATTCATTTAGACCACATCAAACAATATTATTTACATCTTTTCATAAAACTGTGGGTTTTATGTCTTGAAAGGTTTTAGCAAAGTACTTTTCTATAGCTGATTGAAATTTATCATTTAAATTTAAGAAATTAAGGGTAAACAAGGCTTGCGCTAGTAGTGTTGCAGGGTCCTTAATCATATTCCCCCTTTTTTGTTTCCTGAGCATATTTTTAAGAATGGAATGGACATGCTCTATTATGGCCTGTCCTTGGGGGTTATCTGGGATGCCTGTGGAATGTTAGATGTTCCACATGTGACAAAATTGTTGAAATCATGAGCTAGCATAAGCCAGACCATTATAAGTTTTAATTTTTGTGGGCTGCCCCATAAACATAAAAGAGAAGATGTTTAATAACATATCAGGTGGACTCTCCAGAAAGAGCATGTGTGCTAATTAGGTGAGAATTGGCATCAACGGATACATGTACCTATCTTAGTTTTCCAAATTCAGGGACGTGTGTAACATCTGTTTGCCATAACTGATTAGGTTCCAGTCCTCTAGGGTTAACACCTGTTGAAGAAGGGGACATGCCTGTGAGCTGGCAATATGGGCATTGCAGGATAATTTGTTTAGCTAGTTTTTGGGTAAGTTTAAATTGTTAAATTTCTCCAATTTTGGTAGAAAAATTGATGTGATTGGGTCTCTTGGTCAAGCAGTGACGTCGTAACTTGCAGGTCTGTTTGATCATTGCCATAAGCCAATGGGCCAGGCAGTGAGCTGTGGACTCAAATATGTGTGATAAAAATAGGATTTGTACATTGATCCAGCAATTGCTGAAGTTGAAGAAAAAGTACACACAGGGTGGGCTCGAGAGTAGACTTAATGAGGGCTGTTTCAAGATTCTGCAATAAACAGAGTAAGCATAGTCATGAACAATATTGATGGGTTGAGTGGGAAAGGTCTCCAGGGCCAATATTAAGGCTCCAACCTCAGCTCTCTGGGTGCTAGTAAATCCAGAATGAGTGAGGGAATTATGCGGTCTCTACCAAATAGCTGCTTTTCCATTTTTACCAGAGCGCTCAATAAAAAACATTAAAGCGTTAGGTATGAGAGAGTGAACTAGTTTTGTAGGCACAGCTACAGGAGTACGAGATAAGAACTGAAGTAGTTTTTCAGCAGGAAGGCCATGCTGTATATGGCCTGCATAATCACAGGGTGCTCTCTGAAGTTCTAGAGATAGGAACAATACTGCTTCAAATTGCTTTTTACTCAAAGGAATTCTTATGACCTCAGGGTCATAACCCAGCAACTGATTGCATCATCTGCAGCCTGTATAGATGACTTTACTAACTAGTTGTATATAGGGAGATAGTGTTTTAGTCCTGGTATGTGAGAAAAAAACCCATTCTAGAAAGCACAGCCCTGGGGCCATCTGTCCTATTAATCCTGTTTGAGAATGTTTAGTAGGAAAAACAAATAATTGGACCGAATATTGTGGGTCTATGCAATCTAGTTGCCTCTGAGAAATAGCTTGCTCTATTTCCTCAATTTCCCTTGTTGCTGCAGGAGTTAAACACCTGGGAGAGTCTAGGGCTGTATTGCCCTTTAAGATAGAAAACAGGTTTTGTAACTTATCAGTAGTTATGTCCAGGGTGGGGCAAAGCCAAATAATATCACCCAGTAATTTTTGATAATCATTTAAGGTGTATAAGTTGCTAGCATTTAATTTAACCTTTTGAGGTCTTATTGACCGGGAAGTTAATATGTATCCAAGATATTTCCAAGGAGAGGACAATCGTACTTTTTCAGGTACTATGATTAAACCTCCTAACTGAGCATTCTTTATGACAAAGGCATATAAACTTAAAAGTGCTGGCTCCGTTGGGGCTGCTAGTAAAATATCATCCATAAAATGAATAATCTTGCAATTATGAAATTCTTTTCTACTGGGGAGCAAAGCCTGATTTTCATGATACTGACAGATGGTAGGACTGTTCAGCATTCCTTGAGGAAGTACTTTCCAATGAAATTGGAGAGCTGACCTTTCATTATTGATAGCTGGTATTGTGAACGCAAACTTTTCTCTGTCCTGTTCTGCAAGGGGAATAGTACAAAAGCAGTCTCAAGTCAATAATGACTATAGGCCAATCTTAAGGAGTTGCCGTGAGGGGAAGGGAGCCCCTGTTGAAGGGGCCCCATAAGTTGCAAATTAACACTGATAGCCTGTAATTTCCCGTGATTGTTGGGAGAAACAGCTGAAAGTATCTGGCATAAAGTGAAGGTTCATCTGCACATATCTTCCTCTTTTCAAGTGTAAGTGGAGCATCACTGTGTTCAAATAATAGGAAAATAATAGCATTCCTCAAAACTATGTTCTCATTACTAGATACTTTTTTCTCTTCATAGCTGAAAAGAATTAGGGTCATCAGTGTCTTACAGAGAAAAAGAGTTTTCTTCTTCTCTCCATATTCTTCCTCCTCTACTTCCTGCTCCTCCTCCTCCTCCTGCTCCTCTACTTCTTCCTTTTCTGCATCAGCATCAGCATATTTTGAATATATATGACTTGGCACTTAATTGACTTACATATACAGCTATGAAAAATGCCATTCATTTATCCTGAATACTAGGACCTACCCATACTAAAGAAATACAAATGGTATTTTCATCCTAACTCACTGAATAAAATTGTATCAATAGGCTACTATCAGTGTAAAATGATCAGATGACAGTGCAAAATGGTCAGATGAATTATGAGATGCTTTATTCTAAGGCTAGATTTATAGATCTATTGAAGTCTTCTTTCTTTCCATTCTTAAGTCCAAATGATACTCCATCTGGTGCTATGGAATAATCATTATACATTTAGTGATAGACTTAAACCCAAATTTGCATGATAAACCATGATGGAGAGAGAAAGGAGGAGGCAAGTCGTGTAGGTTGGGGCCTATAAGGAGATGATAAAGTAGAAGAGAGGAAAAAGAGAAAATATAAGAAAGGGTGTCTAGGGGCAATGGCTGCTACTTTCAGTGGAGAAAAGCCAAAGACTGAAGCCCTACATCTGTTGACAAAGCTGGACAAGAAACTTGAATTGGTTAGAAAAGTAAGTCTGAAAATTCCAATGTGTTTTAATATTGATGGAGTGAAATAAAATATATAAACCTAAAAACAAGGACCTTGGAAATTTGAGGATGCTAATTAACTAAAAGTAAGATCATCTTGAGGGTGGAAAAATGGAATACTGCATTTTATTCAAACTCTTTTAATCCACACAATCTATGAATCAGTGATTATCATTCTTACTATTCAAATTAGAAAGTTGATTCTGAGAAAGTTCCATGACCTTACCTAAATAAACATAACAAATAAATTGCCGGGCTCTGATGTGAAATCAAGACTTTTTAACAGCAAAGGCCAAGCCATTTAATCACTAAGCTTCTTTTCCTTTAAGACTCAAATCATGAGATCTATGTTAATGCAGTTAAGTGTAGAATAATCAGCCTAAGTGTCTAATCCTATTTATTGTACTAAAGGTTTTTAGTTGAAAAGTTGTTGGTTTTTCTAAAAGTATCTAGTTAGGAAATACAATATAAAATTTTGTGATTCTTTTACGTAATATAAATCATTTAATGTAAATTTTGTAAATTCTAACTGTGGGTATTTTGTTGTTTCTTGGGAATATACTCCCTCATTTATACTTTTTTCTACACAAATATATATGTAAGTCACTTTACAGAAGCTTTACATTTTCTATTTAATATCAAATATACCTATTTGATATTGAGGATTTTCAAAATATTAGAAATGATATAGATTGAAATCTCATCTCCATTCTTATTCTTACTAGTCTCCTTACCTTCCCCTTTCCTTCCTTCCTTGCTTCCTTCTCCTTTACCTATACCTCCCTCTCTTCCTCCCTCTCTCCTACTCTCCCTCCCCCCTTCTCCACCACCTCCTTTACTTCTATCTCTCTGATTTAAAACTTCTTTTTCCCTCTGGGTCAAGGTAAAGAAAGGATTTGGTGGTACCGATCTATTCTGGAACATTATTATTTTAAGTGAGTGTCTGTGTTTCTAGTGGCTGAGTATATGCATATATTTTCTTTTGCAGAGCCTGCATATAAAATGCCTTCTTAAAAAATTAAAGTACGTACTTGAAATAAACCAATTATTTTCCTTCATCCCAGAGAAAGAAAGAGGTGTACAAATAACTTTTTCTCTATTTTCTGGTAGCCTGCCACAGATGAAGTTTACACTAATTAGAAATCGTCTGGAGGCACAAGAGCAGATTGAGCCTTCGGCTGGAAGTACTTCCTGACAGGTGGTTCACCACAAAGCAACATTACAATTACCTAACACACTGTTTGATTTGTGTAAACCTCATTACTACTCACATTATTTAATGAACTATGAGCATTCCTTCACCTCCCTGCACAATGCAGTGCTCCATTTCCATTTCAATTCAGAAATGAAGATTGCAGGGCTTAAAACCATTTGTTTTTTAAGAGCAAATATTGCCTTGAATTCAAAATTCTGAATTTGAATAGGTTTAGAACATCTACCTAAAACTTATCAATAAAACATGCAGATTAAAGTGTATTCATAATGTTAATAATATTAAGATTTTACCTTTTAATAATATTAAGATTTTACCTTTTAGTTTATTTTTCCCCCATCAATAAAAAAGAAAAACTAATGTTTTCCAATGTGTGAGGATGTGTGTGTTCAGTGTGTGTTCCCATGTGTAGTGAGGTGGAAAATTGAAGCAATTATCCAGATAATTCAAGCCTCAAACCACAAAATTGCCTCAATTCTTAAATTCTCTTTGTATGTCTCTGCATATTCTGAAAGTCCATTTAAACAAAACTAAAATATTGTCTTTTCTTTTCTAAAAAATGTCTAAACCTTTTTCTATCTGTTTTAGCCTAAAACCTCATGTTTTAATGTCTCATGCATTTCTGTTCTTAAAAGAGAACAAAAGTTTATTCACAATTTTCCAGAGAAGTGATTTCGACTAACAGATCCTAGATATTAGTCACAGTCTATTTTGATAATTTTATCTATTCCAGATAAAATAGATATAACATTCTGTAATTTGTGTTATTAAAATTGTTTTTCTAGGTGGCCTAGTATGTGCCTATCATTGTGTCAGATCTGTGGAGGATAAAAAAGAAGTCTAAGGCAATCCACATTTTGAAAATATATGTAAATATGCACAGAAGACAAAACTGTGAGTAGAAACAAACGTGTTAAATGATAAAGAATTCTCTATGTGTTTATTGGTTATTGAAAGGAGAGAAAGGAGGCATTTTCTATTGCAGGTGTAATTGCCACTGAAATGACTGAGTTACTTGCGTTTAGTCTTCACCCTGTAAGTTACTTACCTGATGGTCGACTAGAACATTACTTCAGTCCTCTTACATTCTTATAATGAACAGACTAATGAATTATCTATTGCTTGGAGCTAAAATTTGATGTTTTCAAATTGAAAAAAGTTGACCTCATTTTACATTCCAGATATTTATCACTAGTTATCAACTTTCAGAAGCTTCTATTCCTGTCAAATGGTTTACTTAATATCCTGTAGAACTTCCTCCACTCAAGCAATTTCCTCCTAAAGACACCCTCTATTATTTTCTTCCAGTGCTCACTCACCAAAGGTCATTCAGTAAAGGCGTGACTGAGCCCAGCTCTGAGTGACTTCAAAGCCTGACTTTTTTAACACTGTCTAGCTGTCCAGATCCATTAAAAATACTTATTGGCATTTATGATGACCTAACCATGCTGCAGTTACCAATTACCTCTCAAATTTGTGACTTAACAATATGGAAGTTTCTCATTCATAGTACATTTCCAATCTCAGTTGCTAGAGCTATCTTCTCAATGTAGATAGTTAGGAACCTAGGCAAATGAAAGCTTACTCTTAACACGTGCTTTCATAATCACAAGAGCTGAATAAATAGAATATGATGAATCATGCAATCACTCTGTGGCAGATTAAAGATAGTTGAAATCTTTTTCTTATTACTTTAATTAAAAGATGGAGTTTAGCTCCCTTTCTTTGAATTCGGGTTGGCTTTAGTAACTTACCTGATAAATAGAATATTGCAAAACTGAACATGTATGACTTCCAAGTCAAGATTAGAAGATGCCCTAAAACTTGATGTCTTAGAACCATCCCTCAGGAACCTCTGATACACCATGTAAGAATTCCAGCTATTATGATACTGCTATGCTTCAAAGGTCATCTATAGGAGCTTTGAGTAACAGCCTTGCCATGTATTACATCTGAGCCCTTCAACCATCTCTGCCAAGTAGCCAGATATGTAAATGAAGCCATGTTACACCCTCCAACCATACCTATTGCCAGCTAAAAACTACTAAAGGATTTCCCACCTGATCTCTGTTTGAATTCTTGACCTGCAATTAGGAATTATAATAAAAGCTTTTAAGCTGCTACATTTTGGGGTAGTTTATTACAGAAATGCCTAAGCAGAACAAAGTCTTGAAGCCTTCACTAAGTGACATATGTTCACTCCCTCTCATGATTAACTGGCCAAAAAAAGTGCCCAATGGGCCAAGAAGTGCTAAATCAAGGACTGTTAACAAATGACACCTTTTTTTTTTTTTTTGGAAAGTAATCTCTCCCTGTCCTGAATCATTTAGAAATTACTGAGTTGGCAGTTATTGTGTGCTTCTGTTGATGTATTTTCTATTATCTTGAATTGTTAGTCAAATATGTTCCTTTAATATTTTAATGCTTTGTCATAGAATGTGTTCTAAGCCTTGAAACATAATCATAAAATAGTGAAAAAGAAGGACTTATAAATAGTGTAGGCATTTGAAGTTAGTCAACAAGACAGAAATGATCACTATAGATAACTGTAATAATGAGTACATTTAGAATAAAAATTAAGAATTAGATACAATAGAAGAAAAATGTTAGACAGTAGAGAGAGTAGGGTGGTAGGGTAGCACTAAATAACAATAGATATGAAAAACTAAACAGAGGGTTTTGTGTATATTTGTTGCAATATTTATTTCAAAAATATTAGAGCATAATGAATATAGACTTGGGGACAGATTTCTTTTCAGTGAGTTAGAAGAAAATAGAACTTGAGAGAACTGATAGAATAGGTTTTATAATTCATATGTTCTAGACAGTAGTAGCCATACTGGTAATTTAAAAAAAATTAATCTGAAAGACATTTCAAAATGCCAGGTGTCCATGATGCTTGTAAGACTTATAAATGAATCCATGTAACCCACAAAAATAAAGCCCACTATGGAACTTTAAAAAAATAAACCTTGTCTATACAGTGTCAAATATTTCTTATGTTTCACACTATCTAATTTCTCTGGAATGTAGAGTCATATCTGATATTTCTTCATACTTAGCACAATACTAGACAAATAATATATTCATATTATAATCTTAAAAATATTTCCACAAATGTTACTCTAACCACCATGCATGTCCTTTAAAATAACATTGGCATATAGTCATATCTATATATAATTAGGGCTAGTGTTTCTGTGTGCCATGTTGAATAATCCAATACCAAAAGTAGTATATAGGGAATGTACTATAAAATGTATTTTCAAATAGAATATAATTTTTTTGAAATATGTACAATGTAACCAAGAAAACAGATGGAGCTCTTAGTGAGTTGATGAAAACTAAATTGCAAAAATTATTTTTCAAAGATACAAAATTTCTGTCAGGAAGGGGTAACTGAAGTTATAATAAACATTCATATTTTATGTTACAAAGAAGGAATCTATACAAATGTCACATTAATAATCTAAGGAAAAGTGGTGGGAAACAAAATATAAGCAATTTGTAAATCTTTTTTTTTTTTTTTTTCAGAATGGGATGTATTTGATAAAAGAAAAACTTAAGGCCACGCATGGTGGTGACTCACACCTGTAATCCCAGCACTTTGGGAGGGCGAGACTGGCGGATCACCTGAGGTCAGGAATTCGAGACCAGCCTGGCTAACATGGTGAAACCTACTAAAAATACAAAATTAGCTAGGCATGGTGGCACATGCCTGTATCCCAGCCACTCAGGAGGGTGAGGCAGGAGAATCGCTTGAACCCTGGAGGTGGAGGGTGCAGTGAGCAGAAATAGCGCCACTGCACTCCAGCCTGGGTGACAAGAGTGAAACTCCATCTCCAAAAAAAAAAAAAAAGTAAAACTTCAGATGAACTAAATTTAAAGAAGTTGAATAGAGCAATGAGTGAGTTGTGAATCGGGCAGCCTCCTGAGCCAGAATAGGCTCTGAGACTCCAGTGCAGCCACGTGGTGGAAGAAGATTTATGGACAGAAAAAGGAAAATGACATACAAAAAACAGAAGTCAGGTAAAGAAACAGCTGGATTGGTTACAGATCAATGTTTGCCTTATTTGAATACAGTTCAAACAGTTTGCTACATTTGATTGACCAAAACTTGGTGACTGGCACAAGTGTAGGCTACAGTCTGTTTAAACCTACACTTGTTATAGTTCAGGATGTACAAAAAACTTTTAGGATGAACTTAAAATATGTGGGAAGGCAGCTTTAAGCTAAACTTGATTTAAAAATTCCCCACTTTTGTCATCTTCTCAATATTGAGAGAGTAACCAAAACTCTAGTCATTGATGTCCATATCACCATCATAAGTACTTATTTGGTCTTGAAACCCATTGGCAAACAATAGAACAGTGGGTTTTGCAAGTTGGGAACAAGGACTTTAAGTTATTTTTATTATTATTATTTTAAGGGTTACAGTAGAGGGTGCCTCCTTATGCTGGAATGTCTTGTTTACAAGAGAAAAAAGAAAATCTGGTCTATGTTTCCTTAAATTCTTAGTTTGATTATGTCACATTTAATACAAGTGACTCTATTTCGATTTGATCTGGTCTGTTGGGGCCTAGTGCATGAGTTCAGTCCCAAACAATGGCCTCCCATAATTTTGTTTAAAAAAAAAAACAAAAAAAAACACTTTTTGGTCAGGTTCTCACTTAGGTGAGAGTCTGACCAAAATTTAGAGCCTTAACGTCATTCTCAGTTATAATCAGTTTAAGTTTCTGGTCTCAGTAGGTCATTCATAGGTTATGATGCCCTGATGGTTACACATTCCGTTCAGCTCTTGCCATTCTCCAGTTTAAGAGAGACTATTTGATATTCTAGACATGGCTGCATGCAAACATTTAAAACATTTGAGAGAATAATGTGCACCAGGCAGACTACTTTTATGACTATCAGGAGGATAATACCAAAAGTTTGAAGTATGCTCTTACCCAGATACCCAATAAACCAAACTATCTAAAATTAAATAGATCAAAGAATAAGCTAGATAAAGAGTCTACTCGCTTAACAAAGCAGTCTCTTCATTAATCCCCCATAACTGAATGTCTATAATTTACATTTGGTGTATTTCTGTATAGGCCACAAGTGCCAGCAGCTGCACAGTTACTTCTGTTTAGCCAGTAAGTAATCTAAAGCAATTGTTATTTAGCATAACTTTCACAAGAGAATTTAAACTCTCTCATGCATAGTCTTTACAGTAGAATCTGCTATAGAGCCTATTATGAGAGATATATTTCTAATTATTGCATCTTTTACACCAAACCATGGAAAAAGGAATCTAACAAATGATGCCCTTCTAGAAGAGTGAAGGTTTCCTGGCAATGCTATCTTTAATCCATGATGTGGGTTAAGAGGAGTGAACCAATGTTCTGTTTCTGCCTGATTAGGAGGCAATGTACATACCATTAAAATAGATGAAGATGGCCTTCATCTTTCATCTTACATCTATCAAGGTATAAGATTATCCATGTATATGGGTTATATCAAGGTATAAGATTATCTATGTTTAAGGCTGGCTGCAAAATCCTTCAAAAATAAACGTATATGCCATGAGTGCACACAACAGACCCCCTTTTCACTTCTATTGTTTATAGAGGCATAATCCAGGGAAAAAATATTCAAAGATAACAGTCTCGTAATAGTAGAGAAGTCTTGATCCATGATCTTGGAAAAAGCTGTTCACATCAAGGATGCCGTCTTCTGCTGGAGAGAAACTTCCCTGGTTAGCTTTACCTTAAGGGATCAAATGGGTGTAGTTTCTAGAGTGTGGAGGGAAACAAAAGTCCAAGGTCCCAAAGTTTTGCTGCAGTTTGAATGGCAAGGGCAGCCTTTCTCTAATGTTCGGAGAATATCCAATCTTTGGGTTCTAGGTTGTAAAGGGGTTGTCTTCAGTCAGTTAACCATAAAAAGTTTTCTTTACCTGGTGAGAATACATTGTGGCATAATAATTTACTGTTATAACATCAGCCTTCTTTCATGGGAAAGCTTTTATACAACCAGAAAACATGCACTGAAAATGACAATTGAACGAAATTCCTCTATAAATGTTTAAATGTCCATCAGGTAGCCTAATGTACTGAAACTTTGATTGTCTTCCATGGAATATGGGTTTGACAAACCAAACATTGGTCATAAACTATTTTAGCAATTTAGAAAACACCACAACAAAATATATTTACTTTGGATCATTTTATCATTTCCATGCTGAGTCATGGAATGCAGAACTTTTAATAACAAAAGCTTTAAGGACTCAGGAAAGACAAGGGAGCCATCGTGGTTCTCCATGAGTCCATGCTTAATACCAGTTGTTTCTCCAATTAAGATGCATAGCACTGATAACTGATGGGTTATCATAGGTAATTCGACTTAGACCATGAAATTTATTCAAACTGTATATCTAAACAATTTCAGTATTGGCCAATATAGCGTGAAAATCTGGAAAAGTATTTTCTTGGTATTTAATTAATTTTTGTTCTACTTTGATTAGCAGTTTTATTAGATTGGTGCAAAAGTAATTGTGGTTTTTGCCATTACTTTTTAAAACTAGTCAGCCTTTTCATTAAAGTTCCAGGAATTCTTACTCAGTCCAAAACATATGATTCCACAGTTTTCAGAAACCTCTATTCAAGAGTGCTTTTCACGGTCCTTTCCATCCTTTCATGAACCTCCTAAAATACACCATATTCTAGAATTTGTGTATGCTTGTGCAGTTTTCAGAAACTGCATCAACATTAAGCAATTAACAATGAAAATGACTTTAAATAGTCATAAAGCCACAACTGACATGTAAATTTGATTATTTTGTGGTCTAAAATAACATAACAACCACAACTATGATTAATAGCATATACTCAGAAATATTAGAATTATGGAAATCCCATACAAGTTTGGAACATATATTGATATCATTCACCAAGATATAACCTCTTTTTTGGATGCTTCAGGGGCCCTCTGTAGCATCCCAAATTTAGAGGTTGGAAAAGATAATTTTGAAGCTAAAATTTGATTTGGGGAGGCCTATCAAATATGTTAAAGGTTTAAAACACTTGATATTATGAAATAGAACTCCAAGTCACCATAAGTCATTCATTTACCCAAAATGATGACTCAAGAATTTTAAAAAGGCAAATTATTTTACTCGTTGATAGAGGGAAGACTTAACTTTCCAAACAATCTCTCTCTTGTCTTTCCCTTCTTTTTCCTGTAGTTTACTCAAAAGGCAAACAAAAATCTTTCATTAGTCTTTAATATTACATGAATATCTTGTTCAAGAGAGAAAGCCAAATTTCACCCTTCCATTTGTGTACTATGTCAAACTCAATCTTTAATAAAACCTATAGACCAATCTATCCAATCTTAATTAGTCTGATAAATTTTTGTTAAAGAGCAGAACAGTGCTCAAAGAAAACCCAAATTAAGTCTCATCTAGGGATTTCTGTTAGTATGCAGAAGTTTCTTAAAAACTTTCAATATATTTATTTAAAGTCTTTACAAAAGTAAAGTAAAAAATTTAAGCAATTAATTGATTAAAAAAATCTGTTAGCATTTTAGTTACTAATCCAATTCAAAGGAAATAGACTACAGTACAAATTGGCCAACTTTTCTAGGTAATAGGATAAAAGGCATAAAAATAAGTAAAATCAATGCTAACAGAAAAATATAAATTGGATATATTCTATAAAGATTTAAAAAAGTATATTAAAATGATGTAGTAAAAAATGCTATATTGATAATTTAGCAAATTTAGTGTTTTATATCTCCAGTTGTGTAATTATGATTAATATTAAAGGAGATTTTCTTGAGGCAATTCATTAAGCAGAACTGAAAAAAGACCAAATTACATTTCCCATGATGGGCAGAAAGTAACAATAGCATACAGAAATATTTTCAGCATTTTTAAAAATAAAATCAGTTTATGTAGGCCAGTATATTCTCAGTAACTTATAATTTCAGACACTTTTACATACAGGAAAAATCCTTGGCCCAAGACAATGTAAAACAGAAAGTAAAATGTTGCTTAACTGGGATATTTAAAATTAATTATTAAATACACATTAGCATTAATTTTAAGCTTTTCTTAGATTGTAGTATTTTGTCATACTAAAATCTGAAATGTGGTCAGTGACCACATCCTAGTGTGGTGGGACCTATACTGCCTTATAAAATTTAATGGTTTCATAACATGTATAAGAGTTTTTGCCACTCCTTTTTTTCAAAAGGTGAAGCTTAATTCCTCTCCATTTGCATGCAGGTTAAATTTACTGCCTAGCACCTAATGAATAGAATATGGCATAAGTAAAGCTGTATGACTTTTAAGGTCACTTCACAGTATGTATAGCTTCCACTTGACTAATTCTCTTTGACGCACTGCTGATATGTCATGAGAACATTCAATCAGCTCATAGAGAGACCTACACTGAAAGGAAATGACGTCTCCCATCAACAACCAGCACTGACTTGTCAGCCATGTGAGTGAGCCGCCTTGGCAGAAGATCCTCTCCTCTCAGTCAAGCTTTCAGATGGCTAAAGCTCTGTTCTAAATCTTGACAGCAACCTCATGACAGACTTTAAGTCAGAACCACTGAACTAATCTCCTCCTGAATTACCCTCCCATGGAAATGGTAGAGATCATAATTATATTTTTAGTTCAAAATGGTGACTATAATTAATAACAATATATTATATTCTTGAACATCACTGAGAATAGATTTTACGTGTTCTCACCACAAAAATAATGTGAGGTAATGCATATGTTATTTAACACAATTGAGCAATTCCACAATATATACATAAATTAAAACATGTTGCACATGATAAATATATAAAATGGTATGAATAATAATATTTTAGTCTCATTTTATCAGTGGTATGTTGGTTAGTGTTTAATAGCCAACTCTTTGGGGAAATAATAATCATCACTTGCTGTTTGCTGATTTCTGTGGTGTAAATATTTCCATGATGGTAGAATTTAAACTATCTACTAAAGCAACACTACTGAATAAAGACTAGAAGAAATGTATAAAAGCACCAATAATATGATATTGCTACCATACACACACTACATACAGAACTTGAGCACACATAATAATAAAAATATAGTTAAAAAATAGAAAATGTTGTGTCTTGATTATATATTCTTTGTTTATAATTTGCTTAATTATAAATTTATACAAATTGATTTATAACAATGGTTATGTTTAACAAGAAGCTTATGAAATCCCTGAAAATTAAAAAAGCATGTTTCTAAATCTCAAAATATTATATTTAATACATCTATTTTCTATGAGATTAGATAATTAAATGTTACATTTTTGTGAGAATTAAGTGACTTTGTCCTATAGATTTTGATTTGTAATCCAATTATATGACATAATAATCACAGTATCTGCAGGAACATAGTATTTTTAATGAGTTGTTTCATACTGTGGATTTATAATTAACATTGAACATTATTGCTACTGAAGTTCTTAAAGATGAGGTCATCAATTGATATTTATACTTCATACATGATTTTGAATATAATCTTGATGCTTTATACTTAAGGAACAACAACAAAAAATAGGCTTTCTTATCTTAGTCACAATTAAAATGAATTTTTTTTTTTTTTTAGATGGAGTCTCATTCTGTTGCCCAGGCTGGAGTGCAGTGGCATGATCTCGGCTTACCACAACCTCCGCATCCCAGGTTCAAGCGAGTGTCCTGCCTCAGCCTCCTGAAGCTGGGACCACAGGCACGCAACACCATGCCCAGCTAATATTTGTATTTTTAGTAGAGACAGAGTTTCACTATGTTGGCCAGGCTGGACTCGAACTCCTGACCCTGTGATCCGCCTGCCTTGGCCTCCCAAATTACTAGAATTATGGGCGTGAGCCACCATGCCCGGCCATGAATATCTTTAATCTACATGGAATCACAATTCCAAAAATAACAAACAGAAATAAGAGATTTATATAGTATTATAATACTTTTATACAATTTATGCCCAGTTTATATTTTTGATACAATGACAATAACTGCTTTATTTTCTTATATACCTCTAACAATATGAGAAAATGATAGAATAGTATAAATTACATATATAAAAGAAATGGAATAAATAACAAAAGCATCTCTTAGAAACACATAAATGGAATATTTGTAGATGAAATAATACAATGCCTGGAATTACACTAAAATAATCTAAAGGGGAGGGCTTTGGATACGAGAGTAGAAATGAAACAAGATTGGCCATGAGTGAGTACTGAAGCCCTGCACTTAAAGGAAAATGTAAATGTAGCTCTTCTAACAAAAGAAAAGCTTACAGACAGAAATACGAGTATTCTGGAAAAAAATAAAGAATATCAGAGGAATTTAATATTATGTAAGTAAAAAAAAACTAGTGACTGAACAAAATAATTATTGCAGTGTCTTGTAGACTTCAAATTATATTAGGGAGACGATGCATATCAAAATAAGGAAAAATCTAATTGAGGGGGAAAAGTTTTAGAGCATCTAAAGTTTGACAACACTCTCAGAATTGGTAATAATTAGTCAATAATAAACAAATAATCAAATAATAAACCTTCTTTGAACTTTTTCCCTAGATTGCTAACAGGTTGACTATTATGTGCCTAGGTATGGCTTTTGTTGAGTTTGGGTTTTGCTAATATCTTGAATCTGAGTGTTGATATACTTCATCAGTTTTAAAAATTCTCAACCATTATCTCTTCAAATATTGTTTTTGCCAAATCATTTCTCTCGTCTTATTCCAAATCAAACACAAGTTAAATCATTTGGTGTAACCCACCTATCTCTTATGCTCTATTCTTTTCATTTATTAAAATACTTTTGTGTTTTATTTATTTTTATATTGCCCTGTTTTAGAGTTTACTAATCTTACATTTGTTGTTAAATCAATCCACTGAGTTCTTAATTTTATATTTTTTCAGTCTGAAATGTTCATTTTCTTATTTTTAAAATAAATTTCTATTGTCTTTTGTAAGTCTACATCCTGCTGTCTACTTTTGTCCTATTTTTTCCTCTATTTTCTTTAATACATTTATCATAGTTATTTCAAATATATTATCTGTTGATTTCAATAACTGGACTATCTGTTCTACAATCATTATCTGCTTTTACTTTTGGTTATTAGGTATTCTTTTTCTTTTTTCATACGCCTTATTTAAAATTATTATATGTTGAAAATAGTGAAAAAAATAGTTCCAGAAGATCTAATTTTTCACCAGACTTAGTCTCTTTTTAATCTTATTATCTAAAGCAATCAGAAACTGTGTTGGATTAGGCTATATTGCATTTTTAGTGAAAGTTAGCCCATCTCAATTTTACCCTTACTGTTAAGGCATTACTCTCCCAGTGAAATGGGTCACTGTCTCTCTATCCCTAAAATATCATGACAGATATAGCTCTGTCCTTCAGGGATTACAAACCAAGATCTCCTTCTGTTCCAAGAAGTTCAAAATCTAGCATATAACTCAAGGGAAAGAAAATTGTTATGCTTGAGGCAAATATTCTCCAAAACACGTCTTACTTTCCTAAGCCCTGTAAGATGTGAGAGATCTACTGTGCTTTTACGAACTTTCAAACTAGTTCTCCAGTCTCCTGAAAAGCATCAGAGCTCAACAAATGCTCAGTGGAAAAAAACTGACTATGATGAGTTAGTTCCTTTCTCTCTAGTTTACAATTCTTCCCATCAGGCTCACATGACCATTAAATTCTGTGTTAATGATTCATTTCTTCTTCTCTTGACACATGTTTTCTGTCTGAAAAATTCCAGTGTTTAACCTATTCTAAGAATTAATGAACACCCAGAGAAGTGCATCAACTTCTCTTAGAAAATTTCTATTGTCTGGAACATTTACTTATCTAACCCTCACAGCATACACAGCTCTCTGATATCATTAAAATAGAATTTTACAACTGATATGAAAAAAGTTCTATTGTCTGGAACATTTACTTATATAATCCTCATAGCATTCACAGCTCTCTGATATCATTAAAAGATAATTTTATAATTGATATGGGTTTCAGTTTTTTAGGGCTGAACCATATGAAATTGCCATTTTTAGGGTCAAAAACAAATTGTCATAGGAGCTTGAGCTAGCCATGACCTATTGTGTCTTATTTACAAGCAGAATCATGACACAAAAGGATTTTTTACACATTTTTAGTGAATTAAGCAGTTCACTAATACGTAAATCTGAAATCCAATAAAATGATTTATGCATTTATAACAAAATAGTTAATACATACCTATTATTATTGTAAGGCTCAATGTTACATGTTGAGTATGCAATAAGCAGCAAAACTGATTCAGTTCCTACCCTGATGAGCTTAAGTGTTTAATCAAGGAGGCAAACATTAATCACACATTTATATTAATACATAATCATAAATTGTATTTTGAGAACAAATTCTGGTATCTATAAAAGTATTTATAAAATGAATCTGGTATAGTCTGAGGAGATTAGAGAAGGCTTCTAAAAAAAGTGTTTTTAAACTGCAGATCTAAAGAATGCATTAAGTAAAATAAAACTAGAATTTAATATGTGAATAAATGCAGATTAAAAGAAAAATATAACTACCCAAAATTAGAGTACCTTAATGTAAAAATGATTTATAGTTTCTATAATAAAATAAGACACATAGGAGTATAAAAACATTTGTGTGTCACTTATTCTGGCTTTAGTAAGCTAGAGTATGTTCTCATAGAATTTTCCATCTAAGCTCACACAGGAAAGCTAAGTTCATATTAATCATGAAACAATAAGGAAATCTTACGTTTTGACAGAGGAAATTAAAATAAAAAAACATGACAGTTAAGATATTTTAAAATGATTTAGACAAAGATAATGGATAGCTATCCAAGGGTTTTAATCAGAGAGCTGCCACTATTAGCTTAGCATTTTACAGATGACTGAACTCAAAGCAGTGAAAGATTTGGAGAGGAAAATACTATAATCAAGATGTGACTGTTCCAGGAATGGGAGTGAATAATCAAAATTCCAGGGAGTATTGTAAAGAGAGGCTGTTTGAGGGATTTTAGAAGACGGATATGTCAGGACCTTTCATTTGATTGAATCTAAGGCTTAGGGGAGAAGGAAGTGAGTATAGGACGTAAGGGTAGAAAACAGCAAACTTGTCATCTAAGAGAGATTATAATTTGACACTGATGATGTCTATTTCTAATAAGACTGAAGTTTAAAACATGGGCTATGTAACCGTTGGTTGTCATTGTGCTGAAATAAGTTCAGAGTTCACAAGAATGAAATGAAATGAGTTCAGACGAATGAAACAACTAAGAGGTTAATTTACATAAAATTAATCAAAGTGGATGTTGAAGTTGCCAACCTGGATAGGCATTGGAAAGATATAGTAGGTAGAATGACATTAAGAAAGCTTAGAGTGTAAAGCTTGTAATATCAGATGTGGGTGATAGAGATTGGAGAATGCATGAAATATTCATTAGTTAGAAGAATGACCTCAGACATTATGTTAGTTTCATTTCTAGTTACTCATGTTTTCTTTTAATTTTATTTTTACATGTACATGCTGCCACTTTTGTTTTGATATTAGTATAAAGAAAAAACGTGCGAGCCACAAAAGTAAATCACAACAGTGCAAGAAAGTAAGTCATTTGGGAAGTAGGATTAGCTTCAATGACAATATATTTACCTAAACGGTAAAATTTAACTTATATGAATACAGCAAACTCCATTGTAAAATAGAGAATTCAGTACAACCACGAAAAAAAGAATCTTTGTGTGTTATCTGGAGAAAGTAAATGGACAGGATTGACAAAAATGTTCCTCACTATGCTTATAAGAGATTTTTACTAAAGAAGTCAAAAAATATGGTTTTTGTTTTGTTTTGTTTTGAGATGGAATCTCGCTCTATCAGTCAGGCTGGAGTGCTGTGGCGGCTATCTCGACTCACTGCAACCTCCGCCTCCCAGGTTCAAGCAATTCTCTGCCCCAGCCTCCCGAGTAGCTGGGACTACAGGCGCCCACCACCACGCCTGGCTAATTTTTTGTATTTTTTTAGTAGAGACAGGGTTTCACCGTCTTGGCCAAGCTGGTCTTGAACTCCTGACCTCAGGTGATCCACCTGCCTCGGCCTCCCAAAGTGCTGGGATTACAGGCATGAGCCACCGCACCCGGCCAAATATGTCAGTTTTAATTAAAAGCTGCTACATGCAAGAAACTTGGACTTTAAAATGACATAGAAAAGCAAAGGGCAATCATGACAATATTCTAAATCAGTCCTAACTCATGACCTAACTCATGACTGAGCATATTGGAGGAAGAGAAACTATTGGAAAGTTATTTTATCTTTTTTCAATGTTTAAATAAAAGTGTACCTTTATAGAAAAGATACATTCTTTCCTGAAAGAATATTTCTGGAATTAAAAAATCAGAAAGTACTATTTGATTTGCTTACTGGGTCTTGTACAAATCATATTAGGATAAACAATCCAGGAAAAAAGTTTCCTGAGTATATAAGAGGCTAAGGATACAGTGACATCTACAGCAGCAACAGTTATAAGTGATATCCATCATAAACCAAATACATCATTTCACCTTCAGCCTGGAGAGCAGGAGCCTAGCTGCCACATCTGTGTGTGTATGTCATCTAAATGATGAGAGATGAATCATTCAAATCCGCTTTGCTTTAACGAGAATAGAGAAACCTGCTGTAGCAAGCTCAGAAAAAAAATGATTGTCCCATATTTGAATGATGTATAAAATGTAGATTGTATAAAACTGTTTCCTTTGCGAGGACATGGAGAAACTTCTGCATGTAGAGAATGATTTTGGAGTATTGTGTCTCAAAACAAATCAGAACTGTGGGCCCATATATTTCTTCTCCAGCTCAATCTTCTTAAAAAAAATAATCAAGGCAAAGAAAATAAGTAAGAAAAGGAAAAGATTGAAATGTCATCTGAAGTCTTTTTCTCCCCTGGCAAGTAAATCTCTATATCATTTCCTATACATGACTCATTAACTTCCACCTCTGTGTCTTGCACATGCCATTACCTTCTGTCTGCTCGCTGAATAGCTATCTACCTCTTTCCTCAAATCAGATTATTTCCCAATTACCTTCAAGAGCTAGGCTAGCAGTCACCTTTTTCAAAAAGCATCTCTACTTTCATTGCTGGATCCAGGCTAGGGTCAAACAGGTATTAGCAGCTAGTATTTCTAGTGATTGTTGAAGTTATGTAAAACAGGTTGGGAAAGGCAGTTTGTATAAGGTATAATTGAATCAGGCAAGACATGCAACACTTCATAAACCAGAGGTATTCAAACTAAGAGAGGCAAAGTTCAAATACAGAAAATATAATAAGGCTTTACAAAGACTTTGGTTCTCTGAGTCAGAGATGGCAAAACTACCTGTGCCAGCTCTGTAAAAGGCACATGAAATTGACCATTCTCAGTTTAAATTAAGGAATTCTATTCTCTGCTTTCAACCAATATTTCCCAAACTTGGTCCATTGTTTTGTAAATAAGCTTTTACTAGTTTGCAAATAAAACATTGTGAAAAAACACACATAATGTGAATAATTGTGTCTATGACATTTAATTCAAGTTAAAAGACTATCATGTGTTTGGATATTATGTCCTTCCTACATTTTTGGTAATAATAAATAATAAATGGAACTTATTTTGTTTGTTTTTATGTCTTTATTCTGCAAATTAAATATTAGAAACCATAGGCTAATTACTATTTTTTTTCTCTTGGTCTATAAAAATCAGAAGGCTTTATTGCTACTTGGTTGCCCTCTAGGTAAAATTCTCCTTTGGATAGGATATATCATAGAATTTTATAATTATGAAAAATCTGCTCCATTCCTCAAAAGACTTTAATCTTTGTTCATTTCTTCAACAAATATTAAGTCTCACTGTATACCAGCCACTATGCTACTTACCTATGATATATGTTAAAAAGCCAGACATATTTATTTTGTTAGTGGAGCTTGAATTCTACTTCAGAGATGCAGACGAGCAAATAATTTAATCAATTTATATACACATATACACAAAACATACAGTATATGCATAACATTAAAATTCTGTACAATTATGTTATTGTCACTGTGAAGGTATTTATATTTGGATGATCATGAAAAGTCTGATATAGTAACATTTTAGCTCAGATCTGATTGACAGGTATAAGCCAGCTTTAACAAAAGCCTCTTTTAAGAAGATGCAAGAGCAGCTGTCAAAAAGGCTCAAAGGTATATTTTAAGTAGGATGACTGATGCTCCCTGGAGTTGTGCAGTGCAGCAGGACTGTTCATTAACAGAAAGAAGGATGTTTTGCTGAAATATATTGATCAAGACTAAGAAAAAGAAGTAGGTAATGGCCAGATAGATAGCAAGTATGTGAACACATTTATTAGCAAAGGGATAAGCTTGGATTTATTTTAAATACTATGAAGAAACACTGAAATGTTTTAAGTAGGAAAATTACAAATTCGTATTTACATTTTCAAAAATTACTCTGGTTTGATTCTGGAAAATGGATTATGAAGAAATACGAATAGAAGCAAAAGGCCAGGTAAAGAAACTTGCATTGGTCTATAAGGGCCATTTTAGACAAAGATAGTGGTCGGAAAAGAAGAGACATAGGTTTCTACATGTCATATTTTGGAATCACCATTCATGGAAATTAGTGATGGTTATAGGTGGGAAGTAAAGCAAAAAGTGACTCAAGGGTAACTCAGATTCTTGGCTTGAGCAACTGGGTATAGCAGTATCTGTTTTAAGATAGGAGCAACTTGGAAGGGAGCAAGTGCGGAGGGAAAATATCAGATGTTCTCTTTTGGCAAAGTCAAATTTGAGGATACGTTATGTAAAGAGGTGGCTATATGACTCTGCAGTTCAGAAAGCGCATCAGTGTTGGAGACAAAGATTTTCAGGCAGTCACTGAAGTAAAAAAAATTATATTTAGTTCATGCATAGATTACACAAGTTAATTCTCACACTAAGTGTTTGATATATTTGCTTTTTAAATCTCCATTTTACCGAGAAGAAAAAAATTGAGGTACAGTAATCTGTGCCCTGTCACAGAAATAATAAATAAGAAAGAGTTTGTGCTCATGCAGTATAATTCTAAACTCTTAAGAAGGATGTTACATTTATTAATAATATGCTGGCTTGTACTTATTTCATAACCATGTCATAAAATGATGGATGCCCTTAACTGATGAAGTTTAAATTCTACTTGAACACAATTGGATTTGGTTAAAAAGTATATAACTGATGTGAGCATTAAAATAGGCTTACATGTATGTTCTGTGGACTGGGATTACACATTATATCCTCCATGTTGTCTGTTATGGTGAAGCTGAGCTCCTGAACATCACTTTATAGCAGCAGTTCTTAACTGAGACAATGTAGTCCACCCAAAGGACATTTGTCAATAAATAGAGACATTTTTGGCTGTCTCATCTGAGAGGGACAGGGGACTGTTATGGCCAGATATGCTTCTCAACATTCTAATATGAACAAGACAGCCCTCACAATAAAGAATTATCTGGTGCAAAATATCAATACTGAGATTGACAAACTCAGCTTTATAAACATGCACATGGAAAGAAAAAAAATTCTGTGACAGTTTCTTTTTGAAAATCTAGATGGTGTCTGTGTCATGAATACAGCTTACAGTAAAGATTTGCTATTCTTTCTGGTTGCCTAGTAAATGAACACCTTTTCTGTCTTTGGGAAAATCCTTACATTATGATTCTCAGTGAGACAGCATCCACTTATTGGAGCTTAAAAATGTTGATTATTCCTTTTTTTTTTTTTTTTTTTTGCAGTTGGTACATGGTTATGTGGCATGGGCTCAACAGCAACAATAAAATAATCCACCCAGTCCTTAAGTTAAAAGTTGGAGATGAAAACAAGTGAGATGGCTAAAATCTGCCTCTGGCAACAACTACAGGAAGGCAAGTTTCCTGGAGTGATGAGGCACAGTGATAATGGATGATCCTGTTGGCCATTCAAGCTATTTGCTGCTTGGCAGCTGCGTTGTGATTTGGAAGGTGGTCCCTGGATACACAACCTGGTGCTATGACCCATCAGAAATTATGAAAGTTGCCCAGTATTCCTTAATAAAGTTGTATCCAATTTTAACTAGCAAAAATGGGATTCAGTTGATTTTAAACCAAACAAATTTTTGATGAGCTGTTTTTTAATTTTGATGTCTTCATAGGTATATCTTGTGACTACTACTGTCTTGAAAACATACAGATCAGTGTATACATTCAATTAGGTTTTCCTTTAATTATATACAAAAGCATAAAAAATACTACTTTTTTTTAAACAGCAAATGAAATTTAGAAGTGTTCTCTATGTGCCCCTATACATTTGTCCCACCTGTCTCCAGAGGCAACCACTGTTCTGAATGTTTATAAAACAGAGGCCCTGTGAGGGGGGGGAAAATATATATATATATATATATATATATATATATATATATATATAGACACACACACACACACACATACACACAGACACATATATATGTGTGTGTATAGTGTATATATAAACACAATATGTATACTGATTTTTAGTATATCTGGAAAATGTATTCATGACTTTTAAAAGTTATTGAGAGAAACAAGGCTTCCTGACTGCCACTGATAATGAAAATGAATTTAGATATCACAGCTATATTCTATTTCCAAGCACTGATATTCATTTGATTCTCAAATGCAAAATTTTCAAGCACAATTCAGAATTCATAAGATAGAATCTCTTTGATTGGTAACTGACATTTTAAACAAGTTCTGGAGATAGTTGTTACACATTCTTAAAATTGGAAAAGCTCTATTCTCTCATCTGCCATGGTATTCAAAACAATACCACTACTCATGGAGACTTAAAAGCAGTCTTGGCCTGTAATCCCAGCACTTTGGGAGGCCAAGGCAGGTGGATCATGAGGTCAGGAATTCGAGACTAGCTTGGTCAAGATGGCAAAACCCTGTCTCTACTAAAAAAAAATACAAAAAATTAGCCAGGCGTGGTGGCAGGCACCTGTAAACCCAGCTACTCGGGAGGCTGAGGCAGAGAATTGCTTGAACCCAGGAGGTGGAGGTTGCAGTGAGCCAAGATCACACCAGCCTGGGCGACAGAGGAGACTCTGTCTTCAAAAAGAAAAAAAAAAAAAAAAGACAAGAATCTCAAGAAGAACAGTCTTCTTAACACATGCTCTAGGATTTGAATTGCTGAACAGTATTAGGGTATTTTATCTGCCCCAAATAACCTTTGTTAGCTATATGTATTCTAAAAAGTGACTTTTAACTTTGATGACTTTTTTAATTAAGAAAGACAATTTTGATACAATGAACTTTGCCAATCATTTTCTCCATGTTTTGCATATTTGGCTATTTTATAAACATTCTTCTCTACCTGATGATCTTTATTTTTTTATATTTTTTACTGTAAATAATTTACTCTCTTCACATTTAAGTTTTGCATATATCTGAAACTAATTTTTTAATATGCTATCATTTGGGCATTTAATTTTATCTTAGTATTATCATACATCTATTATCATTTTTGGCATTTATGTAGAATTTATATTTCACCCAACGTTTCTCAAACTGTAGATGGTGACTGATATAATATTCTTCCGATTAATAGGTGATATGGAATTTACTGATTTTCCATTAACTTAGATCAAATCCTGTTTTTAGCGTAAAACCGAATTAAGTATCATATCTCTTGCTTCCATGAAACTGAACTATGATTAAACTAATGAAGCTGATTTTCTATAATCTCCAAAATTCAAGTCTCTTACAACAGTTTGCTCACAATGTTCTCTCACTAACTGACACACTTTGATCTAATTGGCACTTCAGTCATTTAACTCATCTCCATTGTTCTGGTCAATATTCCTACTTCTAATTGTTATTTTCTTCATGATCAAATCTAAATTACGTAGTCTGCAAAATCAAGTAATCAAAATTACATCCCCCATATTCCAGTGTACCCTGCAAGTATCTCTTCCAGATTATTCTACCTATCTTCCCTGCTCCTATAACATTCTAAGTAGTATGTGTTTGTGGAAGAAAATAAAAACTATGAGGCTCTGCATCACTGAAATTTGTCATTTTCAATATCTGAATTCTTAGTGCAAACTGTTTTAACCCATAACTTTTTTCCTGTTATTTTTACATATTAGAGGCTATCACTTAAAATAAAAATCATAAGGCTAAAATTCCTGAAGATGTTATTCAGCTAAAACATTTCTTCTAAAACACAGACTCTCAATTAGTTTCTTTATTCCTGTCTAAGAAGAGGAAATTTTTCTTTGCTTTTGTTTTATTACTTTTTTTAGTGGATGTTAGCTCTTTTATCTATATCCTGGAACCCATCTTCTCATGTCTTTTCAGACAATATAAATGTCTTTCTCTAGAGCAGTATATTTTAAATGTCAATATGCATACCTTCAGCTCTGTTGCAGAACCTACTAATGTACATTTTCAACAAGCCCATCGCCTGTGAAACTGCTGCAGGCAGCCTCATAGCTTCACACCCTTTGAGGATCACAGCTCCAGCGTAGTATTGTTAATCACACATTCTCTCTCTCTCTCCTATGCCACTTTCCTCTCAGATTTCTTTAAACATGTTTAAGCTTCTTTAACATTATAGAAAATTCTATCGATTTGTTTTTTTTGTTTTAAACATCAAAGTTCCCCTACCCTCCAAAAACGTAGTCTGCATTTTTTTTCTTCAACACTACCTCACATTAATTATTCACTATATTAGATCTGCCCTCATCTATCACAACTCCACTAAGACTGCTTTTGTTAGTAACTTCTAGTTATAAAATCCAAAGTCCTGTTCTTTAAATTTGCAATTTCTCTCAGCCATCTGCAGTGAGGTTCTTCTCCCTTATGTTGAATTGTCTTTTGTTCTAAACAATTTCCTTAGCTGATTTTTTTTTTAATTTCCATAAGTTACTGGGGAACAGGTGGTGTTTGGTGCACCCATCACTGGAGCAGTATACGCTACACCCAATTTGTATTCTTTCATCCTTCACCCCCTTCCCATCCTCTCCCCATAAGTCCCCAACATCCACTGTGTCATTCTTATACCTTTGCATCCTCATAGCTTAGCTACCACTTATGAGTGAGAACACACCATGTTTGGCTTTGTTTACATAAATATTATTTAGAAATTATTCATTCAGGAATAAAAATTTATCAACAATAAAGATGAGTATATTTGTGTGTGGGTGTGTGTATCTAGCATTTGACAAAGTTTCTGACAAGTTATATCACTTATAACAATATAACATTGAAAATAAAAATAGAAATGATAAATGCATGAAAGGCATATATGTGAATGAAAAACATTAGAATAAAATCTGTATCTTCCAAATTTTACTTAGAATTTCCAATTAATTTTACTAAGATAATTCTGAGAGTTTTCTTTTAACCTGAAAAATGTTAGTAAAATTAATAAAAAAGATAGTAATCTCAAAAATATTAATGAAAAATAGAATTTTTTATAAGTATTATAACATGCCATTACAAACCAGAGTAAATAAAATGATGACACAATACCAAGGATAATAGATCATGAGGAAAGCAAGAAAATAATCACTATTATGTATTATGTAATTTCTATCTTAAATTAATGAAGAAATATCTTTAAATATTTACTTTAGGTATCTAAGGTAGTAATCAGTGTTCTCCAAAGAAACATGACCCACAGAAAATACACAGAACTGAAAGGTAGATGATGGACAGATAGATAGAATGAGATTTATTTTATGAAATTGGCTCATGTGATTGTGGAGGTGATCATGGAGGTTAAGAAGTCCCATTATCTGCTCTTATATCTCCAAGTTGGAATCCCATGAAGACTGTTTGTATAGTTCAAAGGCCTGAGAGCCAGAAAGCAAATGGTACAGATTGCAGTCTAAAGGCCTGAGAAGAAAAATACCCGAAAGAAGGAGACTAATAACTCAGATGAAACAGTTAGGCAGAGTGGGAATTCAACCTCCCTCCACCTTTTTGTTATATTCAGGCCTTCAACTGATTGGGTAGTGTCTACCCAATTGTTTGAACAACCTGTGCTTTATACAGACACACTAAGAAATAATGTTTAATTGTTCAACTAGGCATCTTGTGGCCCAACTAAGTAGACACATAAAACTAACCATCATAATAGATTTTTAATTTTTAAAAGAGTTGCTAATATTCTATTATTCTCCTTCTTAAATTTATTTCATTGAAATCGTTAAGATTATAGGCAAAAGTTTACATTCAAAAATGGTAATTTTGGTATTACACATAATTATAAAAATAGAATAAATTAACATTTCAACAATCTAGATATATAAAACTGTTATGTATCTTCATACAAACAATAAGCCAAATTATAAAACTGAATAATTTTAAGTTTATTATTCTATTAATAAAAATACTCATTTTTATTTTTATTAATAGAATGTTTCACAGAAATTTTCTTCTAAATGCATCTGATTAAAAATATTCAGTCAAAAAATACGATTTAAAAATCTCCTAAAATTTTACAAATACTCTAATGCAATTTACAAAAATGACAAAAGAAATTTTTAAAAATACAAACTTTAAACACATTCAACAAATGTCACATTGCCTACGGTAATCTGTATGATTTTCATACTGTATATTTTTCTACTTTCCAAGTGTTTCATTATATTGTTTTAACCAAAATAAATATTAATAGTTTATATTTACATTAAACCTCATAAAATTTTCCAAATATGATGCAAAATAACAATTAAATCAATTTTTATATATGCATTTTTTTAAGAGACGTGGTCTTGCTATGTTGCCCAGGCTGAACTCAGAATTTCAGGCTCAAACCATCCCCTTGCCCCAGCCTCCGGAGTAGCTGAGACTACAGGTGCTCACCATCCCAATAAACTTTTATTTTACACACGATTATAATATTCAATATATTAAATGTTTTAATGGAATTTAATTATTTCATATTTACATAATATTTTTAAATATAATAAAAACTGCCTTAGTAATATATACCATATTTTTATAATATAATAGTGAGGCATCCTACAAATTCACACTGAGTAACTAATGCTAGATGTAAAGAAAGATGAAATTTAAAATATCATTTGATTCCTAACACTTGAAAAATAAAGATGAAATAATTAACACTTTTCCCAATTTAATCCAATTTAATCTAAATACATTTAACAACTACCAAATACATCTGTTACAGATGACTTGAATCATATTGTATATTGTAGCCCTGATTTGGAATCTGAGACTTAACACTGTATATATGACCACAGCATTGGAACCCAAAGGATAATCTCAAATAGTAATATTTAGATAGCTATGAGGTATAAATGCAAAGTGCACTGGGGATACTGATTTACTCTTACAGCGGAAGTTTTTCTTTTTCACTCAGGCTTTTGGTGGATGGAAGCACAAGATGAAGATGAGAAATGTGCTACTTTTTAGGGGATGACAGCCTTATGCTAAATTATTTTCAGTTTTCACATTAGGCAAAAGATAAAAGTTGAAATTTTAAAAAGTTGAAAAACAATTCAATTTCAATAATTTACATAGACATAAGAACAGGTTGATTTACTCTTAAAAATAAAGATAATTGAATATTTTAAATGGCTGGGGGACTTGAAGATTGTCAATATTTTAAAATTGTCAATGCTCGGATTTTAGAAGTGTCTTTGATACCTGTACAATATTCATACTTTCATATAAAGCAAACGTTTCTCCAATAGTTTTTAAGTCTTTACTTTTAAAATATTAAATACCCTTTCCTATGCAGAAAGAGTGATTCTAAAGTGTAAGATAACTTATTAACTTTCAAAGTAAGTAAAAATAACACATAATTGCCTCAAGTATTAAAATATCAGTGTATGACAAAGTTTACCTAGAGCTGAATTTTATGTCACAAAATCTTCTTAGGACATGTGTTACTATTTCTCTCATCTTTCCCAATGTTGAACTAAAATGCATCCTTAAGGTTAATTGTAATTTTAAATAATTTATAGACCATATTACTAATTTTAAAAGAAGGTGATTAGAATGTCTACATGTCTCAATTGTTTGTTCTCTTATTATTACCATAATTGATTTTATTTGAAGTCAGAAGAATAAAAAAATTTCTGTACCAAATTATATTGCTAGAAATTGAATGTAAACATTACAAAATGAAGGAAAAGAAAAATTAGCTACATCAACATAAAAAAAACTATAGGTGCCAGAAATATTTTTAAAAATCAACTTCTCAGTATCAACTGTATTTGGCATTCACATCTCCTTTTTAATTCTAGAAAAATATTATTATAATATTCAAAACATTTACAGCCCTAGCATACAGCAGCTGCAACTACCATTCAAATAATTACACTGATTATACTCATTAATTGCAACTGGGATGTAAAACAGATTTCATATTAATGCTATATTAAAATGAAAGAAATTAAAACAAAACGATGTTCTACAAGTATGATATTATTTGGCAGAATGTAGGATTTAGGGCAGCATTGGCCAATTAAAACACCACGCTAGAGCCTGAATAAATTATTAAAGCAAAAGGTTACTTTCACACTTGAGTGGTATAAGTCAAAACAGGCATTTTGCTTCTTGGCCACCCTTGTAGCAAATGAAATGAAAAGCTAGACTATACAATAAAAGGTGACCATTTGTGCTCTTCTATTTTAAGTAATGAGTTTTGAGAAGACTTTTTGTCTCCTTGGTAGGCTAATTTCAGCTCCCTCCTCATTTCAGCAATACATATTTCACTTACTTACCCTTGTATATTCATCAGGCATCTGTATTTCAAGTGCAAGAATTTTATTCATGACTAACTTTATCCTTTAAGGAATGAGACTGCTGGAGTGTGACATATACAATGCCATGTAATTTAAAAATCTAATATATTCCTATATAAAGTGTGGATCCAATATTTCTAACTTCAGACACCAAATTGTTTACAAATGAAGAAAAGCAAACCACTCTGGCATTAGATTTTGGAACTATATGCTGGGTAAAAGTAATTTGTCTGTCCTGAAAGTAATTCCTGACCTGATAGGCTGATTGGATAAAGGTTTAGCATTGAATTTGAGATGAAAAAAAGTGAAATAGAATGATTCAAGCAGACTTTTGCACTTGCTGTTACTGTTCTGGTAACATTGTAGGCTAACTTCTATCTCCATGCCTTTGCTTATTCTGTTTTGTACCTATAATGATTATCTTTCTCATTCTCAGCATCTAAATTGCATCTATCTTTTATACTCTAGTCAAGTTACATGTCTTTGTGAAAATCTTCTCTACCACATCAGTAAATAAACAAGTTTACTTCCACTAATCCTTCTAAAATGCCTTTTGTTTTTCTTATACACAGCTAATTCAGTGGTACTTAGAAAAGGGCACAAATATTGTAGTTAGAGGATAATCTGAATTTTATCTGTGCTATTTACTAGCTGATGTCATTATCTCACCTCAAAAAGAAATAATCATAACATATTAGAAAATAATGAAAATATTTTAAAGCAAAAAGAAGTGTGTGGTAACAAGAAAAGTTTTTATATTTTAAAATATATTTGTATTTACTAATGTACTTTTCTTTTTATGTAATCATTTTATGTCTATACACTTTCTAATATTGTTTAGACTGTAAATCCCTGAAAAGCTAGAATTGAGCCATGCACAAATGTTGATTTATACTTTGGAGATTTTTGGTACATTTATGTAATCAATGAATGAACTAATGAATCTATCTACCTACCTACCTATTCATCACCTATCTATTGTGTATCAAGATATCAGAATGGATAAAAGGCCCAGATCATCAGAGAATAATGCAAAGGAGAAATTTTTAAATAGTTAAACATATGTTGACATGAGCTAGAATATTTTTCTTTTCAAATTGTATTATAACACATATAAAGTCCAGTAAAACAAGTACAATTTTATTTAAGAAATAAAAATATAAAGGGGACTTGGTAAACAACTATAAGAAATTATGTAAGGAGAAACAGTAATATTAAACTGCTCACAAGTTAGAGCAACAAGCACAGGGTTAGAACATATCAATAGTAATTGTTTTTTGAATAATGAGAATTAAAAGAATAAACATCAGGAATAGCAGAAGTAATAGGTGTCTTAATTATTACAAATAATTAAATGCTGAAATTTATTTTTATCTCCAATAATGTCTTTACATGTTTGCCATAATCTCTCCTTTATGCAATATAATTGTTACATTTAAAGGCCAGCAATTGTCAGAAATCCAGTCAAATTAAGGCCAACATATATTTATAAACCATTAATATGTCAAACAAAGTGTTTTAGGAGAGGTAAAATTGCCAAAGTAGACAACCTGAAAGAGAAGACATCTGTTTCCATGAATAAACATTGTCCTAGACATTGTCTTAGAAGAGAGAATTAAAATGACAGACTTGGTTATTGCTGTGAAACTTATAATTTATAAACAAAATTCACAAATTAAATAACAATAATATAAGATATGCTTCCCTAATTGTAAAATAGATCTTTAAAATACTTTGATACTGCCTCTCATTCCCACATTTCCTCTTTCAAATATTCACAATCCCCTACTCAGCCTACTTGAATCAGCTAATTTTAACTTCCGTCTCTCAAATGGATTTCACTTAAGCAGGAGAATATTCATTAATTTTTACACAGCACTCAGGAGGTAATAGTGAGCAGTACTACTAGAATTGTTACTTAGGGTTTCACTTTTAATATTTGGGTTTTTACCTTTTCCAGTTTCCCAAATTTTATTCTCACATCTAGCAAATAGAATTTCCTCTATTACAGTCTCCAATTTTTTTTTTTTTTTTGCCTATTCAGTTATTTTGTTATTCAGTAATTCAGTTATTTTGGAAATTGCAACTTGTCCTAACATATTTCCCTAACTGAGTACCAGTCTATGACCCATAAACCTGTGATCCATACACCCTGCTAAGAGTAAATAAACATTCCTGATGGCACTCTATGTTCTATTAGAATTTCTTAATGCTGTGTCTTGACTTCTGAACTCTATGATACTAGCTTTATAGACACTCTCAATTTCATTCAGTTACATATCCTAAGACTGCCTGCTGAACTACGAATCCCTGCAATCTCTTCTTATATGGTGAATATCCTATATGTCCTACAGATCTTTCTAATATTCATTGACTTGTGCCCATCTTTAATGGCTGTATCTATTTTCAGTTCTTGTTTCTCTATAAGACATTCCCATCCCTACCCTTAAAATGCCTTATCTGTGTGGACTAAGATGTATCAAAGCCAAATTACAGAACAAATAATGATTATTATATCCCAAGCCTCACTAGGCTATGGGTGTTGTTTCTGTAAGATGTTTTCCTAGATTAAAGACCTTCCAAGGAAGAGAATCATTTTAATCTCTCCAAGTGTCTTCAGAATAGGCAGCCAAAACACTTAGCTGGGTTGTCAACCTGGTCACATTATGGGTAAAATTATAGAAAGAAAAAACAAATATCCTGGAGAATTGCTTGCAACTGTAGAAGACAAAATAATTAAACTCACCAAATGGAATTAAGGTTGCTAATCAGATAATCATAAAATAAGGAGAGTATCCTGGATTATCCAAGTTGATATAATGTAATCACAATGACCCTTTAAATGTGAAAGGAGTCAAAGGGTCAGAGTCAGAATGATGTGACATGAGAAAGATTCTCAACTGTCCATTGATAGCTTTCAAAATGGAGGAAGTGGCCATGCTCCAAGAAATGCAGGCAGCCGCTAACAGCTGGAAAACTCAAGAAAATGCATTCCCCCTTAGAAGCTCCAGAAGAAATATAGTCCTGAAAACACCTTGATCTTAGCCCGGTGACATCTATGTCAGAATCCTGATCTCTAGACCTGAAGACAAGATATTTATTGTTTTAAATCATTAAATTTGTGGTAATCTGTTACACTAGCAATAAGAATCTAATACAGCAAAAGTTCAACATTGCTAACAAACTTCCTCAAATAAGGACTTGTAATTCTTGAGCATGTGATGCTCCCTTTAATTATCATCATAGTATGAATAAAAAAAATAGCACCTCATTAAAGCAGGATGAACTTTACTGGGTTAGAATAGAGATGTCAAGACCAAAAGAATCAACTTCAAGTCTCAAAATGCAAAACAATTGACAATTGATCATCATATCCAAAAAGGCTTCCACATAGTTTCTTCATGTTTAAGTCTCTTCTATTTTATCTCCAACTTCCATTCATAATCTATTCTATAAAACTTAAATGCTATTCATGAATTTGTTCATGTGCTTACAAAAAATAGCTGAAAGCATCATAATCTGAAACACACTCAATTCTGACATAACTCGGGTCTGTTGGAGCAAGTTAATATTCGCGGGTAATTAAACTTGGTCCACATTTTTACACGCTTTCTCTGAACACAAAACACCTTGAATATAGGGAATTTTGGCTGTGGCTCTCTTTTATGTAGACTAGTTTGTTTTATTGTCCCTAGTATTATCTACGATTACATTTCTAAAAGATTCTCTTTTTATTTCAGTTACTTGAGCAAATCAGATGGAGAAAAGGAAAACAAATTTACTCTACAGAGCTCAGTAAACACAAGCTACACATTTCCACTTATGTTCTGAATGATGCCATGTCTATACCAGCACCATCTAGTGAAATCATTATCAAACTTCACCTTGAAAAAATTTATGAGTTGGCTGCAGTATGTGAGGTACTAGGGACCCTCCACCAAATTAAGAGGCACTTCATTTTTGTCTTAGTCATGACCTTTGCTGACCCCTAGAAAAGAAAATTTATGTATCCTCCATATCTTGGGAAGTATCATAGAGCAATGTTAATGGAGTGAATTTTAAAATGTAACAAAAATGAGTCTGTCCAGCATCAATCTGTTATGACTATTATCTGAATTTTCTTCAGAAACATTAAAATTCAACTGGATCTATGAAGTAGTATTGTGCGTGGCATGAATCTTAGTTGCTACAAATATCAGAATGTTCTTGAATGTTTGGATGCTTTGAGAGAAAATATTAAATTAAAATTCTAAAAATATCAGAATAAACAGAATTAGAACATTAAAACCTTTAAATCCTTTTATATAAAGGCATATTTATATATTTATATAAAGATATTTCAAAATATTTTTATTACTCTATTTTTATGTTTCTATTACCTGGTAAAGAGCTTTATTCCTCAACTGGAAATACATTACTTTCTTCACAAAATTAAAAGACATCTTTGTACTAAAACATATAAAGTATCATGCAAAAACTGACATTTTTACAGGTTTGAGTTAAGAAAATCTGGGCATAATATCGTTCGTAAAAAGATTGAAAAAATTAATACATTTAACAATCACTTCAGGCTACATATTGCTTTTATCAAATTATTTAATTTGTGTCCCAGTAAATATATTAGAGATGCTGCATTACTGTCATCTTGGTTACCTGTTTATATTTCTTCAATTACATTTTTTCTGTGAAGCAATACATATTTAAGTAATCAAATTGGGAAATGACTATAAACTTTTTTGTTAGAAAAATGTTTAATACATAATGTAATTAGGAGATTATTTTTTAAGAGAGTGTGTGTGTGTGTGCATGTATGCCTGTGTATGAGTGAGAGAAAAAATTACAACTACTGATTTATATATAACAATTAGGTCAATATTGTAGAAATTGGTACATTCAAAATAATCTGAATGATTAGCATTTCAACTGATTGTAGGTCAATTTAATATTTTGAGTCAACCAAATATTTTGGCATTATCTTTTAAAAAATGATTAAATTATAATAACTAACAGTTATCAATTGCTTGCTCTGTGCACACTACTGAATTAAGTACTCTGTAGGGAGTATCTCATTTACAGTCCAAAACAATGCCATGTGGTAGTTACGGTAATTATCCATATTTAAAATGAAGAAAACTGAAACTTAAAAAAGTTAATTCCTGTGGTGACCACATCATCCAAGGTAGGTAGGGCATGGTTAGATAGAGAAGGGGGAGCTATTAATAAGCATTTATCTGACTTTATCAGTATAGATCAGAATTAACTTGGCAAATCAAGATATATATATATATATGGATACTCTACACATATAGTAAGTAGCAAAATTAAGACTCAATCCTAAGGAACCCAAGTTACTTTCCAAATATATGACTTAACTACACGGTGAATCTACATAATAGAAAGAGTAGAATTTTAAACATTCCATGATTGGTTTAGCATCATGAGCCAATATCCTAATCAAAATTAAATATTTTCCCTGTCACCTATTTGTCTCCTTTAACTTTTATTTACCCAATACCAAGCCAATCTGTATATCTGAAGTTGTAAGAAGTGACTTAAGATGTTTCACTTCTGTATTTCTGCAATGTTTTTCCTTCAGCTCTAAGTGTCAAATCTTTCTCCATTTATATGCCTTTCCAATTTGATTCTCAGATAAACATTTCCTTTTCCAAGACGTCTTTCCATATTCATCCTTGAACATTTCAAAACATGTTATTTGTATTGTTATCTTGATAATTATTTCAATTCTCACAATATTCATTATACTTTTATGTACACTTTGTCACTCCTAAATAAAACCTCATCTTTTACACATGATTAAAATGTTACAATGTGTTTAGTAATATGCAAATGCATGACTCATCTTTGTTTTTAAAATTTTGTTTCTCTTCAGAATGAGCAAACCCTTATACATTTACTTTTTAGTTTACTCTGGGCTTGAGGCTAACATGTAGATGCCTAACATAGAAATCAAGTTACATGAAAACTGTAATATTCACAATCTACATAGGCACTATAGATAAATCAATTTGGGCTATCAATTTATTTTTGTAAATATTTGATGTAATCATACATTACACATTTTGATATGAGTTTAGATGTTTTTCTCATCCTGAAATTTTCTAACTTTAAAACTCTTTCAGGTTACCTAAGTTTGTTTAGTAAATACTTATTTCTTTTATTAAGCTGTGCAAGCTAATCTTCTTATATCAGAAACTTTGTCACATATATTTTCATCTTATCATTGCCTTTGTAATTGAGTACTATGCAGAAAAATCACTTTGCAAAATGATCTTTCTTAAAAAGATGCATACTCACATACTTTTACTCTGGCATTTTAAGCTGAAAGATAGTATTGGAAGTTATTTATATGTCATTATAACTATTTTTTAACACAAGAGTTTCTCCTGAATGTCACTGACAGAGAGAAACTAATTTGTTCCACATGGATGATGCTTAACGCTGGTGTAAGGCAAAATGATAGCTGTCCATGTGCTGTATGTATTTACAGGATCCTTTAAAGAATCGATTAGCTTAAATAATCTGTCTAACTATATTTCCACAGGGCCTAAATTCCTGTCAATTAAAGTCACTCCTTAAGTACATTTTCAAGAAAATGAGCTTTGAAGGCATTATTTTAGAGGAGAAGAACATGAGTATAGATTTATCTTTATTGAAACTGCACTGCAGCAAATAGAAGAATTCAGAGGTAATAAGTTAGTAAACAAGTCCATTTTGATGTTAGAAGCAAGCAGAAACAAATTCTAAACTAATGAGTCTTTACCAAGAGTATGAAACTCCAATGAGTTGTGTTTTTATAAACGTAGACACTCTAATCCTACCAGCAAAGGATTTTAAGTTTCCTGAATCCTATAAACTAAAAATAAAATACTAAACTGCCCCAACTAACTAAATAGATATCCTCTTGGCCAAGGGCATAGAAACCTTCAAAACAGAATTACCAGCCATAATGGATGGGAGATAGGACAGGTCTCATTATATTCCCATTCTTTTGCAGCTTAGAGGTACAACTGATCACTGCAATGTTAAAATAGAAATCATAAGATTGACAAAACAGAATTTCTGTGGCCATAAGATACCAAATCATACACAAGGCCTAAAGCCATGCCAGACAAAGGTTAAGTTATGCACCCCTACACTTAAAGAATAAACTATGTTCTGTCACAGAGTTTTTCTTCTTCTCTAGCAGCCAAAGCAGCACTGTCCTGAGATAAGCAATATTAAAGCAATTTGCAGCTCATCCACTGCCAGATGCTGACTAACTTACCTCTCCTATTCCACAAGCCATAAGTAAAGCCTTGGTTGGACAAGATACTGATTTCAGTAACTTTCTCAAGATAAGAAAATCACCGACCATGGACAGGTTCTGGTTGGTTTACAGAGGCTGCGCACTTGAGTGCCTTCATGTCCGTGTGTCACCTTTTAACATATAGAGCCTAATTGTAATGCATTTAAATGTTAATTCTCCACCCAAAAGTGAACATGGTTGATTTATATGCAACATGGATGTTTATTCAGTACACATGCTTTAGGACCCCTTTACTCAATATTCATAGCTCCTTCTGTAACCTGTTAAACAGGTATATTTGGCCAACCTGTTCACTATACACTCCTGTCTCATCTGTCCTTCACTTTTAGTGCCTGCTTTCAGTTTTGGCCGGAGGCATACTCCCAGACTGTCAAGATTTATTTACTTACAAAAAATAAAGTCTGCATTCTAAATGTATAGATATTGTGATATTTTCTGGTTGACAACCCTAAATAATCTCAGTGTGCATCATAATCAAAGCAATAGAGGGAAATCATTGTGTGTTTTCTGTATCTAGGGAGGATCTTTAGGCCTGGAGAAGGTCCCCCAGCTCCAGAAGGTACAGAGGCAATAAAGAGAACAGGAAGAAACAAGATAATTTTGACTATATCACATATCCATCTAAAAGTTTTGGGTTGAATATTTCCCATGTTCACTCCAAGTACATCTACTGACTTTGGTACTTTAATTCTGAGCAACTCTGTTGAATACTAAGCAATGTTTTCATTCTCAGAGAGTTATCCAGAGCAGTGCATCCAGCCAGTTTGAAACTGTATAAGGAAGTAAGTTATCAGACTTAATGCCTTATGAAAGCTTGGTTTGATTTTTAACAATACATATCTGTTAGGTAATGCAGTACTGAAAAAGGAGAATTTCATTATCTCTATATAGAAGGAGAGAGATCTATCTTCTAAGCAATGGGCCTCAGGAGGAATTTCCTACAAAGTGACTGCATTTGGACTCAATGACTAATACTCCTGGACCCTGGTGAGGAAAATATTGCAGTGCTGTCACTGCAGGTCTTGATGCAAAGAAACCTGCTGGTCAAGATAAAAAGAGAAAAAACAAAAGGTGGATGATATTGCAATAACAAGAGAAATAGACACCTATTCAGTCTGGCTGAATTTTGATATTTTTGCCTACCAAACAAGTTTCTATTTCATACTTTTAAAAATAGATGTATTGAGGCTCAGCAATACATTTTACGTATGTATGTGTTTGTGTATATTTGTGTGTATATATATATGCTCATATTTCCTTTTCCATGGATATTACATATTCATTATGTTCCCTTTCAAAAATGTTAAATCATTTGATATGCTTACAAATATACATCCTTCAAACTCATATTAAAGATTTTCCTCAAATTGGCCAGGCGCAGTGGCTCACGCCTGTAATGCCAGCACTTTGGGAGGCCAAGGTGGGCAGATCACGAGGTCAGGAGATCAAGACCATCCTGGCTAACACGGTGAAATCCCGTCTCTACTAAAAATATGAAAAATTAGCCGGGTGTGGTAGCAGGCAACTGTAGTCCCAGCTACTCGGGAGGCTGGGGCAGGAGAATGGCGTGAACCCGGGAGGCGAACCTGCAGTGAACCGAGATAGCGCCACTGCACTCCAGCCTGGGCAGCAGAGCGACCCTCCGTCTCAAAAAAAAAAAAAAAAAAAAAAACATTTTCCTCAAATGACCTTCTGTAAGAAACCTATAAGAAACCTTCTGAAATGTACCTGGATACTCCTTGATTCTAATGTTCTGAAACTGAAAATTTCAGAACAAAAAACATGGAAATTCAGAAACAATTTACCGATATTTAGGTTTTTGAAGACACTCCATATACTTTTCCATAGTGGCTGCACCAACTTACATTCTCGCAAACAGTGTACAAGGATTCTCCTTTATCACACCGTCTTCACCTTCTGTTATTGTTCTTATTTTGGATAAAGTCATTTTAAATTGAATGTGATGATATCTCATTGCAGTTTCAATTTATATTTTTCTGATGATTAGTGATTTGAGCATTTTTGCACATACCTGTGGCCATTTGCATCTTTTCTTTTTAGAAATGTCTGCCATATGATCCAGTAATTTCATTGCTGGGTGTGTGTTCAAAATAAAGAAACTCAGCATATCAAAGAGGTATCTGATCTCTCATGTTTACTGCAGCAATATTCACAATAGCCAAAATATGGACTCAACCTAAGTGTCCAGTAATGGATGAATGGTTTTTAAAAGGTGGTATGAATACACAATGGAATATTATTCAGCCATAAAAAGAATGAAATACTTTTTCATTTGCAGCAACATGGATGAAACTGGAGGTCATTATGTTAAGTGAAATAAATCAAGCACATAAAGACAAATATTGCATGTTCTTACTCATAAGAAAGACAAAAAAAAAAATGAATTCATGGAGATAGAGTGGAAACATGATTACCAGAGGATGGGAAGGGTAGTGGACCAAGTGGACCTAATAGACATCTACAGAAGTTTCCACCCCAAATCAACAGAATATATGTTCTTCTCAGCACCACATAGCATTTATTCTAAAATTGAATAAATAATTGGAAGTAAAACACTTCTCAGCAAATGCAAAGGAATGGAAATCATAACAAACAGTTGCTCAGACCACAGTGCAATCAAATTAGAACCCAGGATTAGGACATTCACTCAAAACCACACAACTACATGGACACTGAACAACCTGCTCCTGAATGAGTACTGGGTAAATAATGAAACTAAGGCAGAAATAAATAAGTTCTATGAAACCGTGAGAACAAAGACAACATGTACCAGAATCTCTGAAACACAGCTAAAGCAGTGTTAAGAGGGAAATTTATAAATCTAAATGTCAACAGGGGAAAGTGGGAAAGATATAAGATTGACGCCCTAATATAACAATTAAAAGAACTGGAAAAGCAAGAGCAGGCAAATTCAAAGGTAGCAGAAGACAAGAAATAACTAAGATCAGAGAAGAACTGAAGGAGACAGAGACACAAAAAAACCTTCAAAAAAAAAAAAAATCAATGAATCCAGGAACTGGTTTTCTGAAAAGATTAACAAAATAGATAGACCTCTAGCCAGACTAATAAAGAAGAAAACAGAGAAGAATCAAATAGATACAATAAAAAATGATAAAGGGGATATCACCACTGATCCTACAGAAATAGAAACTACCATCAGAGAATACTATAAATACCTCTACTCAAATAAACTAGAAATTCTAGAAGACATGAATAAATTCCTGGACACATACACCCTCCCAAGAATAAACCAGAAAGCAGTTGAATCCCTGAATAGACCAATAACAAGTTCTGAAATTCAGGCAGTATTTAGTAGCTTACCAACCAAAAAAAGGCCAGCACCAGATGGATTCACAGCCGAATTCTACCAGCGGTACAAAGAGGAGCTGGTACCATGAAGGAATCCTCCATAACTCATTTTATGAGGCCAGCATCATCCTGATACTAAAACCTGGTAGAGACACAGCAACAACAAAATGTCAGGCTAATATCCCTGATGAACATTGATGTGAAAGTCCTCAATAAAATACTGGCAAAATGAATTCAGCAGCACATCAAAATCTTATCCACCACGATCAAGTCAGCTTCTTCCCTAGGATGCAAGGCTGGTTCAACATACACAAATCAATAAACGTAATCCATCACATAAACAGAACCAATGATAAAAACCACATGATTATCTCAACAGATGCAGAAAAGACCTTTGATAAAATTCAACACCCCCTCATGCTAAAAACCCTCAATAAACTAGGTATTGATGGAACATATCTCAAAATAGTAAGAGCTATTTATGACAAACCCATAGCCACTGTCATACTGAATGGGCAAAAGCTTGAAGTATTCTCTTTGAAAACCGGCACAAGACACGGATGCCCTCTCTCACCACTCCTATTCAACATAGTATTGGAAGTTCTGGACAGGAGAGTCAGACAAGAGAAAGAAATAAAGCGTATTCAAATAGGAAGAGAAGAAGTCAAATTGTCTCTGTTTGCAGGTGGCATGATTGTATATTTAGAAAACCCCATTGTCTCAGCCCAAAAAAGCCTTAAGCTGATAAGCAACTTTAGCAAAGTCGCAGGATACAAAATCAATGTGCAAAAATCACAAGCATTCCTATACACCAATAACAGAAAACCAAATCATGAGTGAACTCCCATTTACAATTGCTACGAAGAAAATAAAATGCCTAGGAATAAAACTTAAAGGAACATGAAGGACCTCTTTAAGGAGAACTACAAACCACTGCTCAAGGAAATGAGAGAACACAAACAAATGGAAAAATATTCCATGCTCATGGATAGGAAGAATCAATATCATGAAAATAGCCATAGTGCTCAAAGTGATTTATAGATTCAATGCTATCCCCATCAAGCTACCAATGACTTTCTCCACAGAACTAAAAAAAAAAACTACTTTAAATTTCTTAGGGAACCAAAAAAGAGCCCATATACCCAAGACGATCCTAAGCAAAAAGAACAAAGCTGGAGGCATCACGCTACCTGACTCCAAACAATACCACAAGGCTACAGTAGCCAAAACAGCATAGTACTGCTACCAAAACAGATATATAGACCAATGGAACAGAACAGCGGCCTCAGAAATAACCAGTAACACCACACATCTACAACCATCTGATCTTTGACAAACATGACAAAAACAAACAATGGAGAAAGGATTCCATATTTAATAAATGCTGTTGGGAAAACTGGCTAACCATATGCAGAAAACTGAAACTGGAGCCCTCACCTTATAGAAAAATTAACTCAAGATGGATTAAAGACTTAAACACAAGACTTAAAACCATATAAAACCTAGAGGAAAACTTAGGCAATACCATTCAGGACATAGGCATGGGCAAAATTTCATGACTAAAACACCAAAGGCAATGGCAACAAAAGCCAAAATTGACAAATGGGATTTAATTAAACTAAAGAGCTTCTTCACAGCAAAAGAAACTATCATCAGAGTGAACAGGCAACCTACAGAATGGGAAAAAATTTTTGTAGTCAATCCATCTGACAAAGGGCTAATATCCAGAATCTACAACGATCTTAAATTTACAAGAAAAAAAAACTCCATGAAAAAGTGGGCAAAGTATATGAACAGACACTTCTCAAAAGATGAAATTTTTGTGGCCAAAAAAATATGAAAAAAAGCTCATTATCACTGGTCATTAGAGAAATGCAAAGCAAAACCACAATAAGATACCATCTCACACCAGCTAGAATGGCCATCATTAAAAAGTCAGGAAACAACAGATGCTAGAGAGGATACAACCGATGCTGGAGAAATAGGAATGCTTTAACACTGTTGGTGGGAGTATAAATTAGTTCAACCATTGTGGAAGACAGTGTGGTGATTCCTCAAGGATTTAAAACCAGAAATACCATTTGACCCAGCAATCCCATTACTGGGTATATATCTAAGGATTATAAATCATTCTACTATAAGGACACATGCATATGTATGTTTTTTTGCAGCACTACTTAGAATAGCAAAGACTTGGAACCAACCCAAATGCCCATCAATGTTAGGTTGGATAAAAAAAAAAGTGGCACATATACACCATAGAATACTATGCAGCCATAAAAAAGAATGAGTTCATGTCCTTTGCGGGACATGGATGAAGCTGGAAACCATTATTCCTAGCAAACTAATATAGGAACAGAAAACCAAACACCACATGTTCTCACTCATAAGTGGGAGCTTAACAAGGAGAACACATGGACACAGGAAGGGAAACATCACACAGTAGGGCCCGTCAGGGGTTTGGGGGTAAGGGGAGGGTGAGCATTAGGAGAAATACCTAATGCATGCGGGGCTTAAAACCTATATAACGGGTTGATGGGTACAGCAAATTACCATGGTAGATGTATACCTATGTAACAAACCTGCATGTTTTGCACATGTATCCCAGAATTTAAAGCATAATGAAAAATAGATAAATAAAAAATAAAAGATGGTACGAATACACAATGGAATATTATTCAGGCATAAAAAAGAATGAAATACTGTCATTTGCAGCAACTGCAATGGTACTGAAGGTCATTATGCTAAGTGAAATAAACCAAGCACAGAAAGACAGATATTGCATGTTCTTACTCAAATATAAGAAAAAAAAAAAGAAATCATGGAGATAAGAGTAGAATCATGGTTACCAGAGGATGGGAAGGGTAGTGGGAATGGGGCTGGGTAAGGGATGTTTAATGGGCAGAAAAATACAGTTAGATAGAAGGAATAAAACCTAGTGTTTGGTAGCACAATACGGTGACTATAGTTAACAATAATTTATTGCATATTTCAAAATAAATAAAGAATAGAATTAACGTTTCTAACAAAAACAAATAATGTTTCAGGTGATGAATATCCAAATTACCCCAATTTGACCACCATACATTGTATAGTTGTAGCAAATATTACCTGTACTCCATAAATATGTTCAACTATTATGTATACATGTAATAATTAGAAATAAAAATTCAAGAAATAATAATTCTTCCAACTAAAAACACTTTTGGATAAATGTTCACATACAAAATGGATACTATAGAATTTCTGTAAAGAAAAAAGATAATGCAAATGCTGCATACCAGCTTCTATGACATGCATTTAAACAGTAACTTGGGGGAAAGTATAGATTTAAAGATAAACAGAGCCAATAGGAGATATGAAAATATACATGTATCTATATCTCTATGTATGGAGAGCGAGAGTAAGAGACAGATTTAGGTTAAATAATTGACTCACATGATTGCGAGCTTGCTAAATCCAAAATCTGCAGTGTCAGGCAGATTGGAAAATCAAGAAAGAGTTGATCATGTAGTGTTAGTCTGAAGGTAGTCTGCTGCCAGACTTTCTGTTCATTAGGTTTGTCGCTTTTTTTTTTTTTTCCATTAAGGGCTTCAACTCTTTGGATGAGGCCCATGGATATTATAAATATCTAGCATAAGATTTGATCAAATAGTTGGATATCACAGCATAGGCATGTTGACATAAAACTAACTGCCACAATCCATGTCAATAAAAAAATACTTAATGTCTAACAGGACAAAGAGAAACCTATGAGAAATCTCAGGAAATCATAAAATACATTTTTAAGCAAGTTAACAAAATAAAAAAATTACAGGTAATTATTTTGAAACCATTATATATATGGAAACAACTTATAATAATGTGATCCATGCTATGTTTGTAAATAAAATGTTTACATGTTCAGAAGCTGAGCTTGCATTATCACTTTTTTAAACGTGAAAATAATGTAATCCACAAATTATTTTATTTCACTAATGAAAATTTTATTTTATACACTTGATTGTAGAATTATCTGTTCTAAATTCAATTGGAAATCAGAATGTTTCGTGTATTGTTATAATAATGAATATATTATGCCAGATTGAAGCTGTAACACTTATTTGATGTGAAGCAAAATTTTAAGTTCTGGAGTTTATGAAATGCCAAACAATAAAAAAAACTGGAAAGGTTTCTATGAAGAGTTTAAAATTATTCTAATCTAACTTTTTGTTTCATTATAAAACTTTAAAAAAGTTATAAATGTGTAATGTCTGTGCTATTTACATATATAAAAGATCAGATTGAAGCTTTCACTAAACATGATCCTCTACCAAATTAGTGGATAAAGAGATAATTAGATAACTGAAAGAAAAGAGTAACAGTGTCCATAAAAAGATCAAGTTCACAAAAATGAGCTCTAAAAAAGCTTCAGTGCTGACTTTGTTTTAGATGTCTGAAGTTAAATCAACATGGTTGTCATAATTTATATTTTAAATATTGCATCATTTTCACCTACGCACCATATGGTGTATCAAATGACAATGTAAGAGTCCATCAGCATAAGAGTAAAAACTGCCACCATTAAATCAATCCCATTACAGAAGGAATGAAAAATAAAAATATGATTTTAGTATAGCAAACCAGATGTTCTTTCATGAGTTCATGAAATTAAGAACTATATAAACCTGCAACATAATTAAATGTATCATCAGGCCTTACAGAATCTAAGATTAGGTTTGATTTAATGAAGGCTTCCAAAAAATTTGACTCAGGATATGTTTCTCTTCTATATTCGAAAGATAAAGTTAGTTCTGTTGATAGTTTAATAGTAAATCAGAGTAGAAATGTGGTTTACAAATAATCTAAATGAAAAACTATCCTCAGTCATCTTGAAAGAAAAGCCTAAAACAGAATAATGCCATTGTTGTCCTCTAAGAAGCTGCAATTAGGTATTTTTTTAAAAAATCTAAATTTACTGTAAAATTGATCTAAAGTGTAACTTGTGAAAAAGTTAGTCAGGTGACATTTAGTTGATATCAACATACATAAATATTAATAATAAACTGAACTTTATAGAAGTTGATCTTAGGAGAAGCTTTATTGTTAGCTTTATTTTCAATAAGTTTTCTAATACTATTTATTTTCCATGACAAGGTATTGAAAAGTAACCAAAAATATAGAAAATTAAACCCTTTATTTTTCATATATAAAACCTGATCCTACCAAAAAATTAGATCTTTTAAAAAGAGAGTGAAAAAAATTATTTTTTAACACCACATCTAACCATATATTCGGGTTTAAACAAGTTTTAGCCTTGTTCTTTGGGTATTGTAAAAGTTGTTAATTTAAAAAAAAAAAAAACAAGATTTTATGGTGCATTCATTTGCCTGAATGTGTGTATTTGTAAAGATGTAAAAATTGCATTCATAATAATGTTACAGTATTTCTTTTAAATTTATAGGCAGATGGTATGGGTAATACAGACAAAGAAAATTATATTTAAGCTGATTGACAAAGTTAGAATTTTTTATCATATTAGGAGCAATTTTCAAATAAAAATCTATGAAAGCTTTATTTCTTTTATAATTTTTCATATAGTTCAATAGTAGAGATTAAATTCTTACAGTCAAAAGTTGAAAAGAATTACATGTGTATGTAAAATAGCCTAATGCAATTTAACATATCCTATTTTTGTTAGATGCAAGACAGCATAAAATGAAATAATGGATACTTTAACGTTGCTTGCTGACAGAGAGCCTATATGAGGAGATTTAACATTCCTACATGACTTCTAAAACATTTACTGAGAAGTATAAAAAATGAATAACTTATTTCAGCAATTTCTGCAAGTTTCGAAAGTTGTAAGGGAGTTTATTTTTCGCTTTAGTGGACTCCACTTTAATCAATTAATAATTTGAAATAAATTAATGCATTATTGTAAAAAACACAATTAAAGCATTAAATAACAGTACCTCTAAAAGACACAGCAATTTAAGTGTATTAACACAAACAAATATTTATAGATGTATTTTTTAAAGAAAGTATGAATCCAATTTTTGGCTTATGTACCAGAAAAAAAAATAGTGTGACCACTCTGTGTTAATCTCCATCTTCCACCCACCTCACTGCAGCCTCAGCAATGAGAAGCCGATCTGCAGTTTCAGAGGGCAAGCAGCTCCTGAGATAATATTGATGAAGATGGGCAAGATATTAGCAGCCAAGCACACCAGTTTTCCAGATCTATGATTTGTTTTTCTGCCTGAAGTGTATCTAGAGAGAGAAAGTTACAGAGGTTTTCTTTCAAATTTAATCTGTCAACCAATTCTGTGGACTCAAACTTCAAAATGTATTCAGAAATTTAACATTGTTATCACTTCCATCTCATCCAAGTAAACTTCAGCTCTTGACTCTTAGCAGGTCTTTCTGTTTTTGCCTGTAGCAACACTAGAATCTTCTCTCCACAGAGTAGCCAAAGTCATCTTTACATATATAACTCATAATGTTCACTGTATGATCCTGGCAAGAGTTGTCTTCTGCCTTTGCGTTAGGAAAGAGTTTTGGAATAGACTATAACAGCTTTCATAAAACCATATGTCATTTTCCTTTTATAAGTTTTATTCGGGATATTGACTTTGGTTTCTCACTTTAATTATCAACACCTTTGAATTCTTTTGATTCTCCTCTTTTTGTATCTACTTTTATTTTTCCATGGGATTGCTTCCTTCTTTCAGTACTCTCATGTGCTGCAGCATGATAGAATTGGGGAGTGGCCCACATTCCTTGAAAAATCCTCATGGGTGAATGGATGACTTGTACTGCTTAGGACCATCTGGAGAAGGATAAATAACTTACTGCTCAAAATAAAGTATAGTGGGTTTTCACATCACTCAGGAAAAAAAAGGGAGGTCTCATTAACAGTACGGGTTTTGGAACCTTGCTTTCCCTGCGTTGCTTATTCCTTTCCAACACCTTGGCCTTCCTGGTATCCTTTCAACACTGCCACTACATCAGGCCTTTTGTTCTTGCTGTTTCCTTTGCCAGAAATGCTCTTCTCCAGATTTCCTCATAGCTTTCCATGTAACATTCAGGCCATACTACAAAATACAATTTTCTGTGAAGCCTTCTGAGAGATTCTATCTCACCAGTACCTCCTATCACTCTCTGTTCTCTTGTAGTTTCAGTTTTCTTCTCAGAATCTATTAGCTATATCTAAAAAATTATCTGCACATAATGAAGCATTGAACAAACAATTTTTAGCAAATTAATGATTATGATTTATATTATGTATAGGATAATATAGGATAATTCCTATCAAGCCAATTTTCCCTAGTTCCTGTTCTGTATTTCTCTCCATTCTGGGCTATAAAGCTGCCTTTAAGTATTAAGTTTGGGAAAAAAAAGAATCATTTTACATTTGCAGAGTACAGACTCTCCAAAAGTATAGTCCCTGATTCCCTACAGTGGAATGACTTGTGTTACCTAGTAAATGCAGATTTTTGCTGCTTTCAGGAACTCCAAAAGTTAACTGAATCAGAAACTCTAGGGGTGGTCATCTGAAACTTTCATTTTTTAATGAAACTTTCATTTCATTTGAGGCGATTTTTATTCACACTGAAGCTCAAGAACAACTGCATAATAGCTTTACTTCCGTTCTGTCATTTTTATTAAACTGATTTGTACTCTCCTCTTTCCATGAAAAACCTCTGATAATACAGGGTTATAAATAAGTAAAATTTTTGTACTTCAAGATCTTCAAAGCACAATATTAAATGCATTACTGTTGTGAATCTTAGAATATTTAAAAAATAGGAGGAAGTCTCTGAATTAGTATCAGAACTGTTTTCTGCTTGTTACTGAGTTTATCATGATGATAGGATAGTGTTAGAATTGAAAGAAGACTGGAAAAATATTGTATTATTTTCACTTCTATAATCACTGTGATACATTCTTTGTGCATATCAAATTTTAAATTTCCTAAATCCCATTTTATTATGGCTACTATGTCACCAATAAAGCATTCCAAGATCATTCAATGCAAGTTAATTCTATTATTTCATAAAATATGAGTTTCTATCTTCATTTAACTTTCTGTAGGAATTCACTGTCCAAAGAAAATGTCAACTCAACAGTATGTATTATAGTATTTACAATTATTAATATACTTTCTCACAGATTTAAATTTTTAATGTATAGTGTTGCATTTGTCACCTAGTAAAAGTTTTATTAAAAATAGCTTTCAATATACATGTAATAAGATTTTGTGCATGACCCTGCATAAGAGAATATATGTACATATGTACAGATATCAAAAATATATGCATATAAATATAAAAATATACATAAATTTAAGCATACATATAAATGTGTACATATGTGTTTGTGTGTTACTTTTCAATATATAAACAGAATGTTCTAGTTCTTTATAGAGGGCCAGACAAAAAATAAGGGAATGAGGGAATGGGTATATATACATAGAAACATACCTAGTGTTCTCATATACATTTCTGAATACTTCTTTCATTTATTTTTAAGATTCATTTTAATGGATGTAATAATGCAAAAAAATCAGTAAAATAATACTCTAGATATAAAATATGAAATTAGAGGACAATCAAAATGTATTTAATACATGTTCTTATAACACAAATCCATAGCAGCTTACTTAGCCACATGGTAAGCAAATATATAACACCTTAATAATAAAGAATGAGTGTGAAATATGGTGGCTCCTCTACAAATTTTCACATGACTCTCAGTCTTCAATATTATTATTGCTAAACCTCTGCTTCATTAGGCCTATGTGAATTGTCTACAATAAATAAAAATGATTATTTTATCTTCTCATTGAAGCTATATAAATTGTCTGCAAAAAATTTAAATGATTATTATTTTATCTTCTATTGACGTGTAAACTAAAACATTGTCATATGGCTGAGTAACTGTTATGATTTTTAGCAACTTCAGATTTTTCATATAATAATGATTCTACTTAACTAGCACTTTAAAATATAGCAAACACTTGATCATATATCACCTAATTCAGTCCCTAACAAGCAAATTACTATGATGTATTTAAAATAGACATTATAATCCTTCATTTCATACTATGCAAAAGAATTACCACAGCAAACTGCCTAAGATTAGACTTTGTATTGGACATGCTGACAATGCAGAAAGATTCATATTTGAAATGGTCAAATTAGAAAAAAATCTAAGTAATTTTCTGTCTATATATTTTATATATATAAATATTACATGTTTATTTGCTTTTTGGTCTTGTTTTTGTTTTTATGAAACAGGAAAGAAAGACATTTTGATGAGTTGACAAAAAAGGAAGTCAGAAGTCAGAAGAAAGGATATTGTGATCACATGGGGACAGAGAGAATATCTCTAAAAATCACTCTGAACTTTTGATGACCTTGATTTACACAAGAGAATGCCTGCACTGACAAAATAAACACAAGGGAAAGGCTTTTGCTGTTACTGTTAAATATTATTCTGCACATCAAATATGTGTATTTAGTGTTTCAAAACTGTTATTAAACAGGCTGAGCATGGTGGCACACACCTGTATTCCTAGCAATTTAGGAGGCTGAGACAGGAGTATCACTTGAGGCCAGGAGTTAAAGAACAACCTGGGCAATATAGCAAGATCCTGTCTCTACAAAAAAATAAAATAAAATAAAATAAACTTAGCCACATGTATTAGGCTGTTCTCATACTGCTGTAAAGAACTGTCCAAGAATTTATAAATGAAAGAATTTTAATTGAATCACAGTTCAGCATGGTTAGGGAGGCCTCAGGAAACTTACAATCATGGTGGAAAGGGAAGCAAACACGTCTTTTTTCACATGGCAGCAGAACAGAGAAGTGCAGAGGGAAGGGGAGGAAAAGCCCCTTATAAAACCATCAGATCTCTTGAGAATTCACTATCATGAGAGCAGGATGGAGGTAACTGCCCCCCATAATTCAATTACCTCCCACTGGGTCCCTCCCATGACACATGGGGATTATGGGAAGTACAACTCAAGATGAGATTTGGGTGGGGACACAGTGAAACTATATCATCAGGCATAATGGTGAGTACCTTTCATCCCAACCACTTTAGAGACTGAGATGTGAGGATGGCTTGAGCCCAGCAGTTTGAGGTTGCAGTAAGCTGTGATTGCACCACTACACTCCAGCCTGAGTAACAGAGCAAGACCTTGTCTCGGGGGGAAGAAAAAAAAAATATATATATATATATATAAATAAATATATATATATATAAATTATTATTAAACTTAAAAATTTGGATGTGAAAAAGTTCAAAATAAAATAACTTTCATGAAAAGTTTTTTTGAAAAATAATTGTGATATGAATTCCAAATCACACATTGTCTAAAATAGTATATACCCAGTGAAGCAAACTTTTTAACTTTTATTTGAATATTGATAAATGATTTAAGAACACTGGTATAAGATGACCTATATGTTAGCCCCAGCTTTGACCCTAAATAGCCAGTATCTTAAACCATCTGTGCTTCATTTTTTAATCCATAAAATTAGAGCCTGGATAAAATGTTGCTTAAAATCTCATCCTAACTCCTAAGATTCTATGCCCTTAAAGCTTCCTAAAGCAGATTCTAATGCAATAGACTGCTTCTTCTTTTAGCTCTCAAATATTGTCATGCTGAATATTACTTAGGATAAAAAAGCCATCGCTACATATTCAATTATTCCATTATATATAATGCCTTTTCAGCTTGGTATTAACAGTGTATGACTGTTTTACCTTTTTAGTTTTTAATCATCGTTCAGATCACCTTAGGAAATGATAATGACAGTTAAAATGGCATTGTCCACTATTAAGACTCTAACAGTAACATTAGTTTTCTATCTTTGAATAGTTAAATGGAAGACACATATAAATGATTTGAAGTTGTTTTAAAAACACACACTGTGAAAATATACTTCCTAGATAAGGAGACGGATGTTACCCTGAAAACAGTAAGACCATTGAAATATTTGTTCTTATGTTGATATAATTCAAAAATATTTCTAGTAGTGGTAGAAATGACCAGTATTCCAGATATGAAGATTTGGGGTATTTTCTTTCTTGAGTGTGAAGTTTCTAAAGTTGTTTAGGATTCAAAATTTTTAAATACTACTATTAATAGACTTAATAATTGGCAAATATAATAAGAAAAATAAGATATTAAAATACCGTTTCTAGATTACAAAATGCATATTTACTTTAAAGAGAGAAAATACCCTGAAATTAATATCTGTGCTAAATAGGTTTTATTTATTTATTTACTTATTTATTTGAGATATGGTCTTGCTCTGCAGCCCAGGCTGGTGTGATCGCAGCTCACTACAGCCTCCACCTCCTGGGCTCAAGCAGGTCACCTCCCTTCGTCTCCCACATAGCTGGTACTACAAGCATGCACTGACACACCTGGCTAATTTTTAAATATTTTGTACAGATGGGATCTCTTGTTCAGGCTGGTTTCAAACTCATGGACTCAAGCAATCCTCCTGTCTCAGCCTCCCAAAGTACTGAGATTACAGATGTGAGCCGCTGCACCCAGAGTTCTGCTAACCAAGTTTTTAAGCTTCCTGCTGAATTTTTTTAATAAACACCTATGGCCAGTTGTGATATCACTAGCGCTGTGGGAATCAAAGATCCTGTTCACTAACAGCTCTCTCTCACTGCTGGCCCAACACCTATGCTTTAAATAAACATAAGATTTAGTTATAGGAATCTGTCAAATCTCATTTATAAATTTTCTGTTTAGAGTTTAATGGCTATTCCTCATTTATACAACTCTATATAATCAAAACGTTTCAATGGAATTCATATATTTGTATTATTTTAGTTAAAAAATCTACCTAGTTTTTAAATAAGTTAACTGGATGCCTTTATGTTAGCAGTTTTAGTCAGAAATAGGCTAGATTTTAAATTTTATAGAAATATAATACACAAACTTCACAAATGTGTTCTCTATCCCCTTTCTTTTACAATGAGACTATAAAGGCATAAACAGATAAGATTTCCCTGTTACTAATGCTTAAGCTAGTGCCCATAGTTACAGAAGTATGCCAGAAATTATGTGTGATATCATTCTGATATAATATTTTTCTGGCAAATGATATTCTTTTATTTATTTATTTATTTTATTTATTTTTTGAGATGGAATCTTGCTCTGTCGCCCAGGCTGGAGTGCAGTGGTGCAATCTCGGCTTACTGCAAGCTCCGCCTCCCGGGTTCACACCATTTTCCTGCCTCAGCCTCTGGAGTAGCTGGGACTACAGGCGCCCACCACCACGCCTGGCTAATTTTTTTGTATTTTTAGTAGAGACGGGGTTTCACCGTGGTCTCGATCTCCTGACCTCGTGATCTGCCAGCCTCGGCCTCCCAAAGTGCTGGGATTACAGGTGTGAGCCACCGTGCCTGGCTGCGAATGATATTCTTTAATTAATTAATTTATTTATTTATTTTCCCTGACCCCAAAAGCTTATATGCTCCTTAAGGACTAGAAAATTACAAACTTTATTTCTCCATGGTTTTAGTGGTTGTCAGTTGGGATGGTTAATTTTATGTTTCAAGCTGATTGAGTCTTTGGATTCCCAGATATTTAGTTAAAGATTAGTTTCAGATGTGTCCGTGAAGTTTTTTCAGAAGAAAGTAGCACTTGAATTGGTTAATTGTATAAAACAAATGTTGCTTCCCAATGTGAAAGGACATCATCAAATTTCTTGAGGGACTCAATTGAACAAAAAAGTGAAGAAAGGGAGAATTTACTCTCTCTGCCTGACTATATGAGCTGGGACATCAGTCCTGTCTGCCTCTCTGACTAAAAATTAAATCATTAGCTCTCCTGGTTCTCAGGCCTTAGGACTAAAGCCAACTTTGCAAAAGCTGTATTTAAAAAAAACCCTTGCAAAGAGATGCCAAAGCAGCAGGGCCACCCAGCAGAGCTATGAGGATGACACTGCCACCCCAATGGGCCTGAAAGGTGGGGGTCATTGAGCCAAATAGGGTTACTCTCAAAACTGAAGAACCAGTGTAATTTGTCTTGCTAGGTTTAGGAATTGTCCAGAGACCTTTCTTCTTTTCTATTTTTTAATTTTGGAATGGAAATATCTACCCTATGCCTATCCCACTACTGAATTTTGAAAGCACACAGTTGTCTGGTTTCAGAGGTTCACAACTGTAGAGGAATTTTGCCTCAGAAAGAAGAGTAGTGCCAGTTGTACCCATAATCTGATACAGGTGAAATTTCTATGAGACTTCAGACTTTAGACTTTAGAATAGAGAGCTGGTACACGTTAAGACTTTTGGGGCTGTTGAGATGAAAATATGTGTTTTGCATGTGATAAGAACATGAATTTGGTGGGTCGGGGCATAATGTGATGGACTTGTATCCTCCTAAAATTCTTATGTGGAAGTTCTAAGCCCTAATGTGAAGATATTTGAAGATGGAGCCATTAGAAGGTAATTTGGTTTAAAAGAGCTGAAGAGGATGGGACACTTATCATGGGATTAGTGCCCTTATAAGAAGAGACATCAGAGAGCTTGCTTCCTCTCTGATTCTCTTGCCATAGCATGCACTGAGGAAAGGTCATGTAAGAACACAGCAGGAAGGCATCAATCGAAAAGCCAAGAGGAGGCCCCTCACCATGATCTAAATCTGCTGGCACCATGTTCTTGAACTTCCCAGTCTCCAGAGCTATGGAAAATAAATGGCTATTGTTTAGGCCTCCTAGTTTGTGGTATTTTGTTATAGCAACCTGAACAGATGAACACAGATTTTAGTACTGGCAATGGAGCATGTTAAGCTAAAGTAAAGTGTAAGTTCTTGCATCTGGCCCCTCCTATAACTAAAAAGGAGTCACAACACTTAGTGGACCACTGTGGATTCTGGATGCAACACATATCTCATTTGGATGTGTTACACTGGCCCATTTATTAAATTACTCCCCAAAACCCTGCAATAGGTCCAGGCAGGTTTGCAAGCTGCTTTGTCACTTGTACATTATGATCTAGAAGATCTAGGGTACTTGAAGTAGCTATGGCAATTAAGGATGCTTTTGAAGCCTTTGGCCTGCCCCTGTAAATGAACTGCATAGCACATCCTTAGGATTTTTTACCAATCCCTGGCATCCTCCCCAGAGAGAGTAGATAACTACTCTCTACCTCCTGGCTTTCTACTGAGCCTAAGCAGAGACTGAATGCTTAACCATGGCCCACCAAATTAGTATGCAAATTATTTGTCAGTCATGAACTGGATGTTATCTGAGCCACTAAGTCATAAAGTTGGGTGTGCACAGCATTACCAAATCATCAAATTAAGTTGTATATATGTAATTGGGCTCAAGAAGGTGACCAGAGCTTGGAAGGGTAGTGAGAGGGTAGGGGAAAGTGATAATGGTTAATGGAAACAAAAAATGGAAAGAAAAAAATGATATCTAGTGTTTGGTAACACAACAAGGTGACTATAGTCAATAATCATTTAATTGTGCATTTTAAAATAACTAATAGTATAATGGGATAGTTTGTAACACAAAGGATAAATGCTGGAGGTGATGAATACCCCATTTACTCTGATGTGATTATTATGCATTTCATGGCTGTATCAAAATCTCTCTTATACCTCAAAAATATATATGCACATTATGTATCCACAAAAATTAAAAATATATTTTTTTAAAAGTGCTGAAGTCACATGAAAAAGTGGCCAAATGTTCATAGTCTCCACTCTTCCTATGTTGCCTTTTCTGTCTCATCCTGCACTATGGACACAAGAGGACATCTCAGGCCAGGAATTAAGCCTAGTTTACAGATGGTTGTAAGTGATATGTTGGCATCACCCAGAAGTGGACAGCTGAGGCAATACAGGCTCTTTCTGGGACATTCCCAAAAAAAAAAAACAATGTTGCAGGAAAATCCGCTCAGCTGGTAGAGACTTGAGAAGTTCACTTGGTTGTCCACTTTGTTGGGAAAGAGAAGGGGCCATATGTGGGATATGTGGATTGTGACCGAAAGTTTGGCTGGATGGTCAAGGACTTGGAAAGAATGCAGTTGAATAAATAGTGGCAAGGTCATGTGTGGATGAGGTATGTAGACAGATCTCTTTGAAAAGGCAAAAAATGGAGACAATTTTGTCCTATATAAATGCACACCGAAGAAGGAACTCAGCAGAGGACAATTTTAGTAATCAAGTAGAACAGATGACCTGTTAGGCATTGGCTCGGCAACATGTATTTCTATCCACAAAGGCTGAGTTAGCTCCAGCCACTGCTGTGTACTCCATCTCAGTAAAGACCAGGCACCAGTAAAGGCCAACACTGAGTCCCTAGTATGGCACCATTTCCCGGGGTGATCAGCCAGCTAACTGGTGGAAGGTTGATTACAGTGGACGTCTTTCATCATGGAATGCACAGTGTTTTGTTCTTAATGGAATACACACTTACTCTGGACATAAATTTAGCTTTCCTGCACACAATGCTTCTGCCAAAACTGCCAACAATGGGGTTATAGAATGCCTTATCCATCAACATGGTATTCAACAAAGTATTGCATCTTATCAATGAATTATTTCAATTATATAAACATCTTAAGCTTATGCTCCTAGTATTTATTGGTCTTTTCATATTCCTAACCATTCTGAAGTAGCTGGCTTGAAGATATGACAGAATGCTCCTTGAAGACTCAGTTACACTACTAACTTGATGATGATGCTTTGTGGGGCTGATACAAAGTTCTCCAGAAGACTATGTATGTTCTCAGTTAGTGTACAATACATGATGTTGATTCTCTCATGGCCATCATTTATAGTCAAGATGCTGGACTGGTTCCCATTGATGCAATCTCCAAGCTCACCTCTGGGCACTAAGACTCCAAGCCTGCCCAGCACTAGGCTGGACCCAAGATCCCAGACTCCAGGCCAGCACCCATGTGTATAACCAGAACTCACAGACCTAGCCTCCACATTTGCTCCCTGAGACTCAGGCATCAAGCCAGCACCCAAGGATTCAGGCTCCTGGCTTGCCCCTATGCCAGGATAGCCCTAGACCCTAGGCTTCTCCCCACTGACCCAGCTTCAGGTGAACTCATGGTCTAGGCCTACTCTAATAGACCCAAGTTCCAAGCTTGTTCTAATACATGCCAGCATTAGGTTGACCCCTGTGGACACAGGCTCCAAAACCACTCTTACAAATCCAGGATCCAAGCCAGTATATGTGGAAACAGCACTTATGCTTGACTCCCAGAGACCAACACTTCTGGTCTACCCCAGTGCCAAGCCAGCCCACACAAAATTAGGCTCAAAGCCCACCCAGCTCCAGGAGAGCTACCATAGACTCAAGTTTTAAGCTGGCCTCCAAGGACACAGGCTCTAGCATGCCCTCATGAACCCAGTAGACAGGTCTACCCCAGTTAATTCCATTATCAGCCCTGCCCCTACAAACCCAGGATCCAGGTCCTCTTTATAGCGTATACAACCTCTAGGTCTGCCCTAGAGAATCCAAGTTCCAGGCATTACCCTAAAAAAACAGGTACCTGTCAGGCCCCTGTAAATCCACATGTCAGACACCAGGCCAGACTTTCCAAGGACAGCAACAGCAAGTCCAACTGCAGACTTTCCAGATAGCATATTCTGAAGCTATGGACAGGCTAACTGGTGAAGAGCTTTTGCTCCTAAAACAAATATATAGAGACTCTAATAATCACCTACTTCTTCCAATGCACAAATATCAATGCATGGCCACAAGAATCATAAATAATTATAAAAACATAATACCACCCAAGGAATGAAGCACCAGTAACAGTCCTTAAAATGGAGATCTGTGAGCTGCCTGATCAATTCAATATAAACATCTTAAAGAAGTTCACTGAGCTACGAGACCACAGACAGACAAATAAACAATATTATGAGAACAATACACAAGCACAATTGGAAGTCCAAAAAAGGGAGAAACCATGAAAAAGAACCAGACAAAACATCTGGAGACAAAAAAGACAATGACAGAAATAAAATGCTCAATAGAGAGCTTCAGTACCGGACTTGATGAAGCAGAAGAAAATATCAATAAGCTCAAAATCAGGCATTTAAAATTTTCTAGTCAGAGGAAGAACAACAAAAACAAGAATGAATAAAAGTGAGGAAAATAAGCAGGAGTTATGAGACACTGTCAATAGGACAAAAATATGCACAAATCAGATAAAGAAATGGGGCAGAAAGCTTATTTTAAGAAAATGACAGAAAATACCCCAGACATGGAGACAAAATTGAACATCCAGATCCATAACACAAAAATCCCCATATAGATTAAATATAAGGATATTTTTACTGAAATACTTTAGAATCAAATTTTCAAAATTCAAAGACAAGGACAGAATTTTGAAAGAAGCAAGGAAAAAGCAATTCACCACATACAAGTCTGCTATAAAGCTAAATAATTTTCCAGCAGAAACACAGCAGGCCAAGAAGAGTGTGAGGATATATTCAAAGAGCTGACAAATAAATAAATAAAAACCTGTCAACTAAGATTTCTACACCTGGCAAAGGTATTCCTCAAAAATGAAGGATATATAAAGATTTTTCACAGAGAAAACAAAAGCAGTGGCTGTTCATCACCACTAGATTTGGCTTGTATTAAATGATAGAGTTCTTTGAGTTAAAATAAAAGGATGCTAACTAACAACATGAAAACACATGAGGTTATACAAGTGACTATAAAGATAAAATTATCATTAGATTCAGGATATTCTAATGATGGTACATAAATCATGGTTAACTATAATATAAAACTTAAAATTACAAAAATGTTAAAACTAACTACAGATTGATATTATCACTTGTTAGTGGGTTCACAATATATAAAAGTGGTAAATTGTAAAATAAATAACATAAAATGTGGAGCAAAAGAAGTTAAAATGTGCAGGTTTGTATGCAGTTGAAGTTTACTTATCAGGTTAAAATAGAATGTTATAATCATGGATGTTTTATGTAAGCTTCATGAAAATCACCAAAAGCAAATACTATAGATACACAAAAACTAAAAAGAAATTAAGCAAAGTATATCACCACAAAATAATAAAAGAGCAAAGAAAAAAGAGGAAGATAGAAAACAATTAACAAAAGAGGAGTATTAGTAACTCCTTACTTATCAGTAACTACTTTAAATATAAATGGATTAAATTATTCCATCAAAAAGCATAGAGTGGCTGAATTGATTTTTTTTTGTTTTTGTTTTTACATCTAAACATGTATTGCCCACAAGAGACTCACTTTAGCTTTAAGGACATACAGACGCTGAAAGTGGATGGCAGCAAATCCTTCCAAACTTCAAAAATTGAAGAGGAGAGGATACATCCAAACTTACTTTACTGGGCAGACATTACCCTTACACCAAAGTAAGACAAGGACACTACAAGTAAAGCAAATGACAGAGCAATTACTTTGATGAACATAGATGCAAAATACTCAAGAAAACACTAGCAGACAAAATTCAACATCACATAAAAAGGATCATTTACCACTATCAGAAAAGGTTTATTCCTATATGCAACAATGTTCAACATTCACTAATCAATAAGTATGATACACCACATTAACAGAATAAAGAATAAAACCATATGATCAAAATGAGGCAGAGCAAGATGGCTGAATAGAAGCCTCCAGCAATCTTCACCCCTGGAGGAACACAAAACTGAACAACTCTCCACACAAAAAAGCACCTTTATAAGAATGAAAAATTAGGTGAGCTATCACACAGTATCTGGTTTTAGTATCTTAAGAAAAAGGGCCCTAAAAATAAAAGACAAGGCAATCTTAAATCACCTATACCACCTCTCCCCAGTCCGCAGGCAGTGGCCACATGGCACACATAGAGAATCTTGCAATTAGGGGAGAGAGTGTATCAGAACTCAATGCTGCCTTGTCACAGCAGAAAGCAACATGGGGCAGAACTTAGCCAGCACACATGGAGAAAGCATTTAGATCAGCCCTAGCCAGAGATAAATTATCTATCCCAGCAGTCAGAACTGGAGTTCCAGCAAGCCCCACCTCCACAGACTAAAATGCTCTGGGGTCCTAAATAAACATGGAAGTCAGTGGTATTATCCCATTCTTGCACTGCTATAAAAAATACCCGAGAATGGGTAATTTATAAGAAAAGAGATTTAACTGCCTTATGATTCAGCAGAGAGTAGAGGAAATACAGCGTCAGCATCTGCTTCTCAGGAGTTGTCACAAAGTTCACAATCATGACAGAAGGCAAAGGGGAAGCAAAAGTCTCACATGGTGGGAGCAGGAGCAAAGGCAGGAGAGGTGCCAACACATTTAACAAGATCTCATGAGAACTCACTTACTATCATGAGGATAGTGATATGGCTCCAACGAGTGGAGAACACCAGGGTTCTTGGTCCTCATGACAGTTTAGATAAAACAACACGAACACATGTGGAGTGGTTTTAAGGAGCAGAGAGTTTAATACGCAAGAAAGAAAAGAAAAGGCAGAAGGAAGGGGCTCCCCCATACAGAGACAGAAGGAGGAGGGCTCCAAAGCAGAAAGAGGAGGTCCGCAAGTACGGTGGACATCAGCCAGGTATACATGCAGAGGCTGGAGGAGGCAGTATCTGATTTGCACAGGGCTCAGGGATTGATTTGACCAGGCATGTCATTCACTTAGCCCACGAAAAAGCTGGCTTTCTCACCCCAGCCTTTTAATATGCAAATGCATGGCACCATGATGTTCTACACATGTGGGGATATGTGGAGGTGGCCATGTTGCCAGGAACATGTGGGGAAAGGGCAAGAAGGCCATAAGAATTGCCATGTTTGGGTGGATCCAGTTGCTAATGGCCTGTATTTACATATCAAAGGTTGCCTGTGGGCTCTAAGAGCTGGGAATTTACAAGAAACTCTTCTGAAGATTCTTTAAAAAATGAAAACTTCCCAAGGACCCCTTTTCCTCTCTTATCTACCTAAAATAATTTCTTCATAACTCCTACAACATTAGTACCAACCCAAGAGGGATTCACCTCTGTGATCCAATCCTCTCCCACCAGGATATACCTCCAACGTTGGGGATAAAATTTCAACATGAGATTCAGCGGGGACACATTTTCAAACTATATCAGCAATCTAGGCCACAAGGACTGCAATTCCTGGGCAAGTCCTGGTTCTGTGCTGGCTTAGAGCCAGTTGATATAAGGAGCAGGTGACCTATTGAGATACCAGCTGGGGAGGCCAAGGGAGTGCTCTCATCAGTGTTTCCCAAACCCCAGGCAGCACAGCTCACAGCTCCAGGAAAGACACCTTTGTTGTGATTGAGGAGGAGAGGAGAATAAACAGAACTTTGCCTTGCAACTTGTTACCAACTCATCCACAGTAGAATAGGGCACCAGGCAGAGTCCTAAGCACCCCATTCCAGGCCCTAGCTCTTGGATGACATTTCTAGATACATTCTGGCCAGAAGGGAACCTACTTCCACAAAGAGAAAGACCCAGTCCTGGCAGGATTCATCACCTGCTAAATAAAGGGCCTTTTAGCCCTGAATAATCAGTAGTGGTAGTCAGACAGACAAAACTTGCTGCAGGTCTAAGGTGAGATTCAAAGCCATGCTGGCTTCAAGTGTGACCCAGCACATTCCCAGCTGTGGTGGTTGTGGGGAGAAACTCCTTCTGCTTGAGGAAAGGAGAGGGATGAGAAAACGGGACTTTGTCTTATGGCTTGGGTACTAGCTGGGCCACAGTGAGGCAGACTACCAAGCTGGCTACTGGGATCCTCAGTTCCAGGATCTGGGTCTGGGGCAGAATTTATGGACCTGCCCTGGGCAGGACAGGACCCCATTGCCCTGAAGGGAGAGACACAGCCCTGGCAGCACTTACCACAAGCTGATTGAAGAGCCCTCGGGGCCTTGAGTGAAGATTAATGGTAGCCAGTCAGTACTTTCTGTGGGCCTGGGGCAGTAGTGACCAAAGGGAAAGACTCCTCTTCTTGAGGAAAAGAGAAGGAAGAGTGCAAATGTCTTTGTCTCACAGCTTGGGTGCCAGCTCAGCCACAGTTAAATAGGGCACCGCAGTTAAATAGGTAGATTCCTGAGGCTCTTCACTTCAGGCCCTGGCTCCTGGATGGTGTATCTGGACCCACCCAGGACCAGGGGGGATCTTGCCACCCTAAAGGAAAGGAACTGAACCTGGATGGATTCACCAGCTGTTGATGGTAGATCCCCTGGGCAATAAGTGAACATATGTAGTAGCCAGGCAGTGGTCACCCTGGGTCCTGGGCAAAACCCAGTGCTGTGATGGCTTCAGGTCTCATTCAGGGCAGTTTCAGTGATGGTAGCCACAGGGGTGCTTGTTTCACATCTCCTCCAGCTCCAGGAAGCTCAGCACAGAGAGAGACTCAATTTGACTGGGGGAATGTCTGGAAAAAGAACAAAAGTATCTGCCTAGTAATCTAGGGAATTCTCCCAGGTCTTACTCAAGACCACCAAGGTGGTACCTCTATGAGTCTGCAAGGGCCACAGCATTATTAGTCTTGGGGTGCTCCTTAATACAGATACAGCTGCAATAACCAAGACTTAGATCACTACACCCAAGTCCCTTTAAATACTTGAAGGCCTTCCCAAGAAGGAAGGGTACAAAGAAGCCCAGATTTTTAAGACTACAAAAAATACCTAACTCTTTAATGTCCAAACACTGAAGAACATCTACAAGTATCAACACAATAAAAAAGTACCCTCACCAAACAAAGTAAATAAGGCACAAGTAATCAGTATCAGAAAAAGAGATGTGAGACCTTTCAGAAAGAGGATTCAAAATAGCTGTCTTGAAAAAAACTCAAATTCAAGATAACACACAGATGGAAATCAAAATTTTTTCAGATAAATTTAATACATATATTGAGATAATTGAGAGCAATCAAGCAGAAATTCTGGAGCTGAAAATCCAGTTGACATACTGAAGAACACATCAGAGTCTCTTAACAGCAGAATTGATCAAGCAGAAGAAAGAATTAGTGAGGTTGAAGATAGGCTATTTGAAAATGCATAGTCAGAGGAGACAAGAGAAAAAGGAATAACAAAGAATAAAACATGCCTACAAGATCCATAAAATAGCCTCAGAAGGGCAAATCTAGAGTTATTGGTCTTAAACAGGTGGGAGAGAGAGAGAGAGAGAGAAGGAAATCAAGTTAGTTTATTCAAAGGGAAAATAATAGAGAATTTCCAAAACCTAGAGAAAAAAATCAATATTCAAGTACAAGAAAATTATAGAACATCAAGCAGATTTAACCCAAATCAGACTGCCTCAAGATATTTAATAATCAAACTCCCAAAGATCAAGGATAAAGAACAGATCCTGAAAACAGTAGGGCAAAAGAAACAAATAACATACAAAGGAGCTCCAATACAGCTGGCAGCAGAATTCTCAGTGGCAACCTTACAGGTTAAGAGAGGATAACATGAAATATTTAAACTGCTGAGGAAAAAGAAAGCCTTTATCCTAGAATAGTATATCCAGCAAACATATCCTTCAAACATAAAGGGAAATAAGGACTTTCCCAGACAAACAAAAGTTGAGGGATTTCATCAACACCACAGCAGTTCTGCAAGAAATGATAATGGGAGTTCTTCAATCTGAAGAAAAAAAAATGTATGCTAATAAACAATAAGAAATCATCTGAAATTAAAAAAATACAAACAACAACAAAAACTCACTGATAATATCGAGTACACAGAAAAACAGAATACTGTAATTGTAGTGTGTGTAAACTACTCCTATCATAAATAAAAGTAAAAGATGATCTGATAAAAAATAACTTTTGAAGACATAGTACAATAAGACATAAATGGAAACAACAAAAAGGTAAAAAGCACGAAAGCATGGGGATGAAGTTAATGTGGAGTTTTTATAAGTTTTCTCCTTGCTTATTTATTTGCTTGTTTATACAGTTTGTATTGTGTTCACCTGTATACAAAATGAGTAATAAGTTATTACTTGTAAGCCTTATGGTAACCTCAAATCTGAAAACATGCAACAGATACACAAAAAGTAAAAAGTAAGTAATTAAAACATACCACATGAGACAAAACCACCTTCACTAAAAGGAAGATATGAAGGAAGAAAAAAAGAAGATGTAAAAACAACCGGAAAACAATGGCAAGAGTAAGTTCTTACTTATCAATAATAACATTGTATGTATATACTAAACTCTTCAATCAAAACATACAGAGTGGTGAATGGATAACAAAAATGACCCAGTGATCTTTTGCCTAGAAGAAAAAACACTTTTGTTATAAAGACACACATAGACTGAAAATAAAGGGCTGGAAAAAGATATTCTACACCAATGGAAAACAAAAAAGAATGTAAGTGGCTATACTTAAACCACACAAAATAAATTTCAAGACAAGAACTATAAAAAGAGACAAAAGCATTATATAATGATGAAGGTATTGATTCAGCAAGAGGATATAACAATTCTAAATATATATTCATTCAGCCACTGGAACACTCGGATATATAAAGCAAATATTATTAGAGTTAAAGAGAGAGATAAACCCCAATACAATACCTGGAGACTTCAACACACCATTTTCAGCATTGGACAGATTATTCACACAGAAAACCAACAAAGAAACATTGAGTGCTGTAGGCCAAATGGATCTAATAGATATTTACAGATCATTTCATCGAGTTGCTACAGATTACACATTCTTCTCCTCTGCACATATATCATTCTCAAGAATAAATTGTGTTAGGCAAAAAAAAATCTTAAACATTTTTAAATAACTGAAATTACATGATGTATTTTCTCTGAGCACAATAGAATAAAAGTAGAAATCAACAAGAGGAATTTTGGAAGCCATAAACACATGGAAATTAAATAACATGCTCCTGAATGACCAGTAGGTCAATGACAAAATTTAGAAAAAGATTTAAAAATTTATTCAAACAAATGAAAATGAAAACACAGCATAATACAGTGAAAGCAATACAAACAGGGAAATTTATAGCTGTAAGTGCCTACATAAAAAAAGAACGTCAAATAAACAACCTAATCACAAATCTTAAAAACTAGAAAAGAGCAAACAAAACTCAACATTAGAAGAGGAAAAAAATAAACAGAGCATAAATAAATAAAAGTAAGATGAAAAACACAATACAAAATATCTATGAAATAAAATGTTGGCTTTTGGAAGAGATAAATAAAATGGACAAACCTGTAGCCAGACTAAATAAGAAAATAAAGAGAAAAGACCCAAATAAATAAAATCAGAGATGAAAAAGGAGACATTACAACTAATACCAACAGAAGGTTAGAGGATCATTAGAGGCTGCTAAGAGCCGTTGATATGCCACTAAATTGGAAAACCTCAAAGAAATGGATACATTTCTAGACATATAAAATCTACCAAAATTTAACCATGAAGACATCCAAAATTTTAATAGACCAATAACAAGTAATGAGATTAAAGCTATAATAAATAGTATCTTAGCAAAGAAAAACCCAGGACACGATGGCTTCATTGCTGAATTATACATAACATTTAAAGAACGAACATCAATTCTACTCAAACTATTCCAAAAAACAGAGCAGGGGGAATACTTCAAACTCATCCTAAGAGGCCAGTTTTGCCCTCATAACCAAAACAAGACAAAGATATGTCAAAAAAAAAAAAAAAGGAAGAAAACTCTAGGTCAATATCTCTGATGAACATTGATGCAAAAGTTCTCAAAAAAATGCTAGAAAATCAAATTTAACATAATACATAAACTTAGTTGGTCAAGCAGTAACAGGGTTTGAGAGGTTTGATTTCAATTTTGAAAGAAGCTATATGTAAGTAAAATGCTAGCAAACATCCTCTCATGATACAGAGAAATGTTTTATGAAGAGTCACTCAATATTTAAAATTTCATTGTTGTCTTATTTTAATAAGTTACCACAGCCACCCCAACCTTCAGAAACCACCACATTGATCAATGAGCAGCCATCAACATCAAGGCAAGACCCTCCACCAGCTAAAAGATTCCAACTCACTGAAGGCACAGATGATCCTTAGCATTTTTTAGCAATAAGTATTTTTAAATTAAGTAATATAAACAAAGTAAAAAATATATAATGCTACTGAGCACTTCATGAACTACAGTATTGTCTGAATGTAACTTTTTTATGCACTGGGAAATGCAATGTTCACATTATTTTGTGGTCTGGAACCAGACCCATAATATCTCTGAGATTTGCCCTGTATATACCCAAAGGACATAACATCAGTATGTGGAAAGAGATACCTCCACTCCCATAATCATTGCAGCATTATTTACAATTGCCAGAATATGAAGTAAAGCTAAGTGTCCCTCCACAAATAGATTAAAATGTTTTATATATGTGTGTATATATGCATATATAAAAATTGATATATATAACATATATCATATATACATACATATATTTTATCTATATTATATATATATATAAAATGGAATACCATTTAGCCTTAAAAAATAGAAAATAATCCTGTCATTTGAAACAACCTATATGAATCTCAAGGACATGTTAAGCAATTTAAGCTAGGCACAGGAAGGCAAATATCACAAGTCTCATTTACATATCAAATCTAAAAGACAAACTCATAGAAGTAGACAATAGAAGGATGTTTGCCAGGGGCTGGAAGGCAGGGAGCAGTATTTGTCAAAGGATGCAAAATTTCAGTTAGAGAGGAGAAAAAAGTTATGGAGACCTATTATACTGCACGATGACTTTAATATTAATTAGCGTTAATGCATATTTAAAAATGTATAATTTATACTTGAAAATTTTAAATGTTGTCACTACAAAAAAGTATATGAGGTGATGGATATGGATATGTTAGCTTGTTTTAATCAATTTACAATGTACACATCAATCAATAAATCATATTGCATACCATTAATATATACAAAATTTATTTTTCAATTATACCTTGATAAAGCCAGAGGAAAATGAAAACAAAAACAAAATAATAACAGGAAATGAGAAGAGATTTTGTGCTGGTTGGTGTTATTGATCACGGCCACGAAGGGGACGTTGGATTATTTTTCCAAAATGGAGGTAAGAAAGAGTATGTTTGGAATACAGGAGATCCCCTGGGGTGTCTGTTAGTATTATCATGCCCTGTGGTTATGGTCAAATAGAAAACTATAACAACCTATTCCAAGCAGAACCACTAATTGCCCAGACCCTTCAGGAATGAAGATTACCAAATCTTCAGGTAATTACTCTATCAGGTAAAGAATCCTGACCAAATGAGGTGTTTGCTGAAGACAAAGGAGATACAGAATGAGTAATGGAAGTAGGTAGCTGTGAATACTGTTACAACAATATGACCACCAGTTACAAAAATGAATATTGTAATTGTCATAAGCATTTCCTCTTTAATTTTTTAATCAATACCTCTGTGTGTGTATACTGCAAATATATATGTATGTGTGTACACACACACACACACACATGCATTTTCTTAGTCCCTTACCATGTAATTTTAGATGTATTGACTTTTATATTACAGACTTTAAGTTATGGGATATCAAGGAGAAGAATAAACACTGCCAAAGTACTTTACCTCCTCTTCAGGGAAACAGGTAAGTGTATTTGGTATGTTATGTAGAATAGTTATATCATGTTAGGCAGAATTATTACTTTACTATAGTCTTCATTTGGAGATTAAGTATGGTTTAAAGAGGTACATACAGGCCGCTAGTTGACTAGGGTTGTACTTGTGATGATTAATTTTAAGTGCCAACCTGTCTGGCCAGAAGACTGGGTCTTCTGCTCTCAGACTGGAACTTATCCCCTCAGTTCTTCTGATTCTCAGGTCTTTGGCCTCAGACTAGAACTATACCACCAGTTCTCCTGGGTCTCCAGCTTACAGATGGAATATCTTAGAACTTTCCGCAGCCTTCATAATTGTGTGAGGCAATTTCCTTAGAATAAATTTCATAAATTTCATATATCTATATATTGATATATTATATATGTATGTAATTAGGTCTGTTTCTTTGGAACACCTGACTAATAACAGCAGTTAGGCACCCAGTAGTGCACAAACAAAAAGCACACATTTTGCTGTTGCACAGACTTGGGAGGATTCTGCCTTTGACAGTTGCTGCTATGTGATCTTAGGCAAGATGCATAACTTTTGAAGCTTTATTCTTGTTCATCTGAAAAATGGAGATAATATTACCTGTCTCATAGATTTTTCTTGAGGGGATTGAATGGAACATTTTATAAATTGTAAAAATGAGAAATACATGTAAAGTTCACCATAATGTGTCTGCATACATTAAGAGTTCAATTGCCATTATTGGTAAGCTCCAAAATCTCCTTTTTTACAAAAATTCTCTTTTGGAAGCTTTATCCTGCAATCTCTTTCCTCCATTTATTTTATTTTATTTTTAATTTAGTGTCTTGGGTTTTAGATAAATAGTTTAAGGACATAGTGAGTTTCTGAAGAGCTATTTGACAATTGAACCTGCTGAAAAATATTCTGTATAAATAATGTAGCTGATCTATTTTCTTAATATATCAATTTAGTCTGATAGTGAATAATACAAGCAATTCTGACCTCCACACATGTGTATGCACTGGCACAATTTTACTGAAACTTTACCTTGACATCAATCGTAAAAAATATTTATTCAATAAGTAAATGACCATTATGTACTAATGTCTACTCTATTGCTCCAATATACTGTCTCCATTTTTGCATTCTTGAGATTTACAAAACACTCAATAGATATAATTTTCTTCAGCATAAAATTGGAATATATTTTGTGATAGTTCTAAAATATGCAGAGCATTTCATCAAAACAATGTGAAAGCCAGGAACATTAGAACAAGAAAAATAGGGCCGCCATGCAGAGTTTATTTATATAAATAGCAGATATGATAAGAGAATATAATATTTTCTTTGTCATATTTGACTTTCTAAAAAACTGTAAGCTTCATTCCCAGAGAGAATTTTCTCAAAAAAGACACTTGCCTCTTCAGAAGATAAATTATAAAAAGGAAATTTCAATTGTGTAACTGTTCTTCCTGGGATTAAAACTGAACCCATTTTCCATAATGATGAGAACGTTTCCATTTCTTGAATCCTTGCTTTGAATTCATGCTGCTCTGCTATCCCCTTGAAGGTTATTCTTGATTATAAGTACTGATAACAATTCCCACAAATAGAGGTTTGCTGTAGTCAAATAGAATTTGCTCTCAGGAAATTTTTTTTGAATTCATATTTAAAAAATCTTTGTAAAAGCATTTATATATCAGTGTTCCTTTTGGCTATAGAGAAATGCTATCAAACATTAAATTAAAGATATATTATTCATTTATGTGATAATTAAATGTGTGAATTGCTAAAGTGATAAAATTTCTTCTATAAATAACGGGCAATTTTCATGGAAAGAAATGAAATGATTCAAATTTATTAATTTCAACTTGAAATGTAAATTTTGTCATGTAAATTGTTCAGTCTTAGGAAAGTTTACTTAAAGATAGATTTGTATTTATTTTAATGACTTTATGAACTTGAGAAATACTACCATACTAAAATGAATTCAATCTCTGAGAAATAAAAAGACATGAGACACGTGCAAGTTAAGTTGAATATTTTTCACAGTGAGAAGCCAACACTGTGAATATGGTGTTTCTGAAAAAAAAAATCAATATTTTACTCATCCCCTAAGTATGTACATGATTCATGCCTTAAAGCAATTTTTTTGCTTTATTTTTGATAGCAAACTATCTAAATGAGACATGCAGCTGTCATGTAATTGTAAATTGATTGGATCATAAGCTTCATTATTAATCAATTGTTATAGCCAACATAATTGATGGAAAATTTAATTAAAGATAAAAGAAAACATCACTAACTAGATACCCTTAAGATATCCCACTTTAAAGTTATCTGAAATAGCATTCCCGGAGAATAGATAATGCAATACAGCCAACGAACAAATATGACCATATAAAAGAATAAAAATATAAAAAACATGGAAGAATCACAATGAAACAATAAACATGTTCAATTATAATATAGGTGCTTTATGATAAAACTGTGATTAAATATGCATTACACTTATAAGAGAGGTGTTTTATGATAGAGATGCTCCTTATGATCTCTTCCATGATAGACCAAATGATTCCTGTAGAAATACATACTTAGATGCCTAAATGCCACTTTCTGGTTGGAGTATCTTTGTTTATAAAGTAAGTAAAATGAAAGATCAAATTTGACAAATACACATTGAACAGAAATAGAACAAATTGATAAAAAATAAAAATATATATTTTAGTAAACTTATTGTAGTTGAAATAGTTCATTGTTAATGTCACTACAATTCCCATAATTGTGCTTATGTTCCCAGAATTGAAAAAAATGCAATACATAAAATAAATTCATAAATTATAGGTAGGCAAAGGCACAGTATTTTATCAGTTTTTCCTTATTGAACAAATAAAATATAAATATTTGACAAATGTTCAACCTAGAACAAATGTGCAAAATATCAATGATTTTTAAATCTACAGGATATGATACATTTACAGGGATGCATTATATTAGTCTCTTGAATTTTCTAATTTTAACATTTTATGTAATATGTTTGGAAAATAGATGAGGAAAAAAATCATTCAGCTCTTGAGGTTTCTACACTTAAACCTTGCTCTGAAAGTATATAAGTGTCCTACCTACTTTAAGAAAACTCATTATTGTAGCTATTGAATATGGTGGCTTAAAGCAAGAAAGATCAGTCAGTGAACCCAGATGCAATTAAATTAACTTGTTCCTTAGGTATACAGTGCAAGATTGACAAATAAGTGCATTATTATATTTACTTAAGCAATATGAATAAACAAATGCATTAAAAGTTTTATACATTATAGATGAAAAGTTCATGTTATATAGTGATGCATATTAGTTTTCCTTTAAATAAAAAATAAAAACATCTTTAGTATATTGGATATTTATTTACCTAAATTCTTTCAGATAAAAATATTTCTCTTTCATAAAGTAAAACTTAATACCTATATGATGAACTATCTTTAAAATATTGATTTTTAAAGTGGATAAATTTGTAGTTATCTCATGTTGTTACTTGTAAGTGAATATTATTTCTTGCACATGCTATATAGTAGGAAAATATTTTCTCTCATTTGCTTTTTACATTGGGAAACTCAGAAATACCAGCATAGACTTTATTAGCTTCTTCAGTGACACTATATGATTCAGTGATACTTGAGTATGTGATTGAAAAATGATCATAAGCTTTTATTATAGAGGGCTCTTTATATAATTCTTTTGCAGTCACATCATTATTGAAGTTTTGGTCACCTATATAATTATCACTGCTTATAAAAGACTTTATTGTCCTTGTTTGAAATCCAAACTCTAGAGTTGAATTTTGACTTTATTCTGTGTTAAAGATCTATAAGTCTGTGTATGAAAGATTAGAGACAGTATAGTTTGACGATGCTGACTTTATTCTGAATTAAATTTAATTTTATTTTAAAATTTTAATTAAATGTTTAATTTTATTTAAATTTTACTTGAGTAGCTAAACTTTCATAATGAAATATTTAAAATGTCAACCTAAATATTTGGGGAGACATTTTCAAAATTCTTTTAGGAGACATACAGGGGGAGAAAAAAAAAGATCCTATGGCTAAATGGTATTTTTGTTCATGATTATGTGTTTTCTCTTCTGTAAGAGGACTATATTCGGCTTTTTTTTTTTTTTTTTTGGAGACAGAGTCTCACTCTGTTGCCAAGGCTGGAGTGCAGTGGCACAATCTCGGCTCTCCGCAACCTCCGCCTCCCGGATTCAAGCGATTCTTCTGCCTCAGCCTCCCTAGCTGGGACTACAAGTGTGTGCGACGACACCAGGATAATTTTGTATTTTTAGTAGAGACAGGGTTTCACCATGTTGCCCAGGCTAGTCTCAAAATCCTGAGCTCAGGCAATCCGCCCACCTTGGCCTCCCAAAGTGCTGGAATTACAGGCGTGAGCCGCCGCGCCCGGCCTTCTTACTATACATTTTTCTATGCTTTCCCAAACCATTGGAAGGCTTGCCTTTTAACTTATTTATTTATTCACTTATTTTTGGATGTGACTTTTGCCAGGTCTGAGAAGAAGCTTCATGATTGTCAGCTCAGTTTCTTATGCTTCTGCCACCTATCGCTCAAACAGCAAGTCTCAAAAGATAGTGCGTTTTCAAGAATGAGAAGATAGAGTTTGGAGCAGAATCACAAATCAGCCCACAGTCTACATATAATGTGAACCAGAAATAAATGTTTACTTTCGTAACCCCCTGAGATTCTACAAGTTGTTGGCTACACAGCATAACTCAGTAAAGTTTGACAGAGTATTGCTAATGCCCACAAAGCTATGTTTGCATTTCCACTGGATGTTTCTGCTCCCATTGTGCACTACTACATATCTTGGGGAATATTTCCTCATGCAGTGGGCAGCACTGCATCTTCCAGGCACCACGACTTCTAACTCTCCTGCCATATCCTATCAGGTTATCACCTTATTTCAACGAGGTTTTCTCATTTCCTTCTGTATTAGTCTGTTCTCATGCTGCTATGAAGAAATACCTGAGACTGGGCAATTTATAAAGAAAAGAAGTTTAATCGACTCACAGTTCTGCATGGCTGGGGAGGTCTCAGGAAATACGATCATGGCGGAAGGCACCTCTTCACAGGGGCAGCTGGAGAGAGAATGAGTGGCAGCAGGGGCAGTGCCTGACGCTTATAAAACCATCAGATCTTTTGAGACTCACTCATTACCACGAGAACAGCACAGGGAATACCGCTCCCGTATGATTCAATTACTTCCACCTGGTCCCGCCCTTGACAGGTGGAGATTATCACAATTCAAGATGAGTTTTGGATGGGGATGCAGAGCCAAACCATATCACCTTCTAAGCACAGAGTGTCTCTGCTTCCAGTTCCACTGGGCACTGTCTTACCTGATTGGCATCATCATCGTTTACATGTTTCATTATGTCATTCAATACCAGAATCTACTCAAATGGACCTCCAATGCCACAGAGTTTATTCTATGGGTTAAATGATCTGTGAACTTTCTAGTATAGCAAAGCTGTGTGAATTGCTTTCAGAATTGGAGATATATATCTTTTCCCATGATAATTTATTTTCAGCAATTCAGTTATAACTATGTGTATTGCCACTTTCCTAACTACTTCTGCTTCTGCTACAGAGGAATAACACATCTAAATGATAAAACATCATTCTGTGCTTAGAATTTCCCCAAATATTTGCAAGTAAGAGGCCATATAAGTGATCTAAATTTGCTTTCATAGCATACAACTAATAAGTATTTTCTAAATGTTGATTAACATTTTAATGCATAATTTTAATACCATCAAACTTTATACATATAATGGTGTTTATTAAAAACTATAGGAATAATTACTATTTTTCTTCTCCATTAATAATACATTTTTAAAGACTAAATTTTTAAAAACTAATACTTTATATGAATTAACTTAATCCTGATTCACCCATAAGAATTCTAAAAGGAATCAAAAGGTTACGTCAAATTTTGACCTTAATCATAGTGAAATTTATGTCTGCAATGCTGAACATACAATGTCCAACCCCAAGTATAAAACCTGTCATAGTTCATAATATTCTAATTTCTTTTCTTATGCATAGAATTATATGACTATATATACACACAAAAAAATCTGTGTTATGTATAATCAAACTCTGACGTTTTGGTTCTAATACCTTCAATTACATTTCATTTTTTAGGTTAATTATCAAATTGGAAACGGAATTCTGAAATAAAAATAAAATGAAAGTAAATTTGGTTACAATATATAAATAGGATAATTTTTGTTTTGTCTTACAATAAAACCTAAGAAAACACAGAGAAAACTAGGTAAAAGTAATAAGCTTCAGAACTTAACTCTTTTATTGATACAAAGTAAGCTGATAGAATTTGCTTTATCTTAAAATTACTGAGTAATCTAATAGCCATATATCTTTCTTTTTATTGAAAAAGAGTATTTAAAAATTACTAAGTAGTCTGAATAAATGTTAATCCACACACACACACACACACACACACACACACACAAATGTTTAAACCTTTATATTTATGTGTCCTGGACAGATCCAGGAAAAATGATTTTAAAAGTATCTGCCATATAAAATTAAAAAGAATTTGAACACATGGTTAAAATTAAAAAGATTTTTCCATACTTACTACTATAAACACCAGTAACAAAGGTTTGTAAATGTGTTGATTATGTTTGGTTTAAAATATATTGTGTAGACAGATACTAAAAAGCCTTTTTTAATATAAGTAAGTGATAGCAGATGGAAATTGATTGTACAGTATCTATTTTTTATTATTTTATGACATTATAACATTTTGCTTAGTAATAGCATTATATAATATTCAGTTTCCACTGTTTCATCTTCAAGAATATAAACATAACTTATTTGTTAAGATATTTTGCAAGTAATTCCAAATGCTTTTTAAACTGAACAGCATATTTTGGGTCCATAGTTAAATTCAATTTTTTGTTGTCTTGTTTGTTTGTATTAATAAATACTTCCTGGAGGAGGAGCCAAGATGGCCGAATAGGAACAGCTCTGGTCTACAGCTCCCAGCCTGAGCGACGCAGAAGATGGGTGATTTCTGCATTTCCATCTGGGGTACTGGGTTCATCTCACTAGGGAGTGCCAGACAGTGGGCACAGGTCAGTGGGTGCGCGCACCGCGCGCGAGCCGAAGCAGGGTGAGGCATTGCCTCACTCGGGAAGCGCAAGAGGTCAGGGAGTTCCCTTTCCTAATCAAAGAAAGGGGTGACGGACGGCACCTGGAAAATCGGGAAAATCCGGTCACTCCAACCCGAATACTACGCTTTTCCGACGGGCTTAAAAAACGGCGCACCACGAGATTATATCCCCCACCTGGCTTGGAGGGTCCTACCCCATGGAGTCTCGCTGATTGCTAGCACAGCACTTTGAGATCAAACTGCAAGGTGGCAGCGAGGCTGGGGGAGGGGCGCCCACCATTGCCCAGGCTTGCTTAGGTAAGCAAAGCAGCCAGGAAGCTCGAACAGGGTGGAGCCCACCACAGCTCAAGGAGGCCTGCCTGCCTCTGTAGGCTCCACCTCTGGGGGCAGGGCACAGACAAACAAAAAGACAGCAGTAACCTCTGCAGACTTAAATGTCCCTGTCTGACAGCTTTGAAGAGAGCAGTGGTTCTCCCAGTACACAGCTGTAGATCTGAGAACGGGCAGACTGCCTCCTCAAGTGGGTCCCTGACCCCTGACCCCCGAGCAGCCTAACTGGGAGGCACCCTCCAACAGGGGCACACTGACACCTCACGCTGCAGGGTACTCCAACAGACCTGCAGCTGAGGGTCCTGTCTGTTAGAAGGAAAACTAACAAACAGAAAGGACATCCACACCAAAAACCCATCTGTACATCACCATCATCAAAGACCAAAAGTAGATAAAACCACAAAGATGGGGAAAAAACAGAACAGAAAAACTGGAAACTCTAAAAATCAGAGCGCCTCTCCTCCTCCAAAGGAACGCAGCTCCTCACCAGCAATGGAACAAAGCTGGACGGAGAATGACTTTGACGAGCTGAGAGAAGAAGGCTTCAGATGATCAAGTTACTCTGAGCTACGGGGGGACATTCAAACCAAAGGCAAAGAAGTTGAAAACTTTGAAAAAAATTTAGAAGAATGTATAACTAGAATAACCAATACAGAGAAGTGCTTAAAGGAGCTGATGGAGCTGAAAACCAAGGCTCGAGAACTACGTGAAAAATGCAGAAGCCTCAGGAGCCAATGTGATCAACTGGAAGAAAGGGTATCAGCAATGGAAGATGAAATGAATGAAATGAAGTGAGAAGGAAAATTTAGAGAAAAAAGAATAAAAAGAAATGAGCAAAGCCTCCAAGAAATATGGGACTATGTGAAAAGACCAAATCTATGTCTGATTGGTGTACCTGAAAGTGATGGGGAGAATGGAACCAAGTTGGAAAACACTCTGCAGGATATTATCCAGGAGAATTTCCCCAATCTAGCAAGGCAGGCCAACGTTCAGATTCAGGAAATACAGAGAACGCCACAAAGATACTCCTTGAGAATAGCAACTCCAAGACACATAATTGTCAGATTCACCAAAGTTGAAATGAAGGAAAAAATGTTAAGGGCAGCCAGAGAGAAAGGTCGGGTTACCCTCAAAGAGAAGCCCATCAGACTAACAGCGGATATCTCGGCAGAAACCCTACAAGCCAGAAGAGGGTGGGGGCCAATATTCAACATTCTTAAAGAAAAGAATTTTCAACCCAGAATTTCATATCCAGCCAAACTAAGCTTCATAAGTGAAGGAGAAATAAAATACTTTACAGACAAGCAAATGCTGAGAGATTTTGTCACCACCAGGCCTGCCCTAAAAGAGCTCCTGAAGGAAGCGCTAAACATGGAAAGGAACAACCGGTACCAGCTGCTGCAAAATCATGCCAAAATGTAAAGACCATTGAGAGTAGGAAGAAACTGCATCAACTAACGAGCAAAATAACCAGCTAACATCATAATGACAGGATCAAATTCACACATAACACTATTAAGTTTAAATGTAAATGGACTAAATGCTCCAATTAAAGGACACAGACTGGCAAATTGGATAAAGAGTCAAGACCCATCAGTGTGCTGTATTCAGGAAACCCATCTCACGTGCAGAGACACACATAGACTCAAAATAAAAGGATGGAGGAAGATCTACCAAGCAAATGGAAAACAAAAAAAGGCAGGGGTTGCAATCCTAGTCTCTGATAAAACAGACTTTAAACCAACAAAGATCAAAAGAGACAAAGAAGGCCATTACATAATGGTAAAGGGATCAATTCAACAAGAAGAGCTAACTATCCTAAATATATATGCACCCAATGCGGGAGCACCCAGATTCATAAAGCAAGTCCTGAGTGACCTACAAAGAGACTTAGACTCCCACACATTAATAATGGGAGACTTTAACACCCCACTGTCAACATTAGACAGATCAACGAGACAGAAAGTCAACAAGGATACCCAGGAATTGAACTCAGCTCTGCACCAAGCAGACCTAATAGACATCTGCAGAACTCTCCACCCCAAATCAACAGAATATATATTTTTTTCAGCACCACACCACACCTATTCCAAAATTGACCACATACTTGGAAGTAAAGCTCTCCTCAGCAAATGTAAAAGAACAGAAATTATAACAAACTATCTCTCAGACCACAGTGCAATCAAACTAGAACTCAGGATTAAGAATCTCACTCAAAACCGCTCAACTACACAGAAATTGAACAACCTGCTCCTGAATGACTACTGGGTACATAACGAAATGAAGGCAGAAATAAAGATGTTCTTTGAAACCAATGAGAACAAAGACACAACATACCAGAATCTCTGGGATGCATTCAAAGCAGTGTGTAGAGGGAAATTTATAGCACTAAATGCCCACAAGAGAAAGCAGGAAAGATCCAAAATTGACACCCTAACATCACAATTAAAAGAACTAGAAAAGCAAGAGCAAACACATTCAAAAGCTAGCAGAAGGCAAGAAATAACTAAAATCAGAGCAGAACTGAAGGAAATAGAGACACAAAAAACCCTTCAAAAAATTAATGAATCCAGGAGCTGGTTTTTTGAAAGGATCAACAAAATTGATAGACCGCTAGCAAGACTAATAAAGAAAAAAAGAGAGAAGAATCAAATAGACGCAATAAAAAATGATAAAGGGGATATCACCACCGATCCCACAGAAATACAAACTACCATCAGAGAATACTACAAACACCTCTACGCAAATAAACTAGAAAATCTAGAAGAAATGGATAAATTCCTTGACACATACGCTCTCCCAAGACTAAACCAGGAAGAAGTTGAATCTCTGAATAGACCAATAACAGGATCTGAAATTGTGGCAATAATCAATAGCCTACCAACCAAAAAGAGTCCAGGACCAGGTGGATTCACAGCCGAAAGAAGGAGGAACTGGTACCATTCCTTCTGAAACTATTCCAATCAATAGAAAAAGAGGGAATCTTCCCTAACTCATTTTATGAGGCCAGCATCATTCTGATAACAAAGCCGGGCAGAGACACAACCAAAAAAGAGAATTTTAGACCAATATCCTTGATGAACATTGATGCAAAAATCCTCAATAAAATACTGGCAAACCGAATCTAGCAGCACATCAAAAAGCTTATCCACCATGATCAAGTGGGCTTCATCTCTGGGATGCAAGGCTGGTTCAATATATGCAAATCAATAAATGTAATCCAGCATATAAACAGAGCCAAAGACAAAAACCACATGATTATCTCAATAGATGCAGAAAAGGCCTTTGACAAAATTCAACAACCTTTCATGCTAAAAACTCTCAATAAATTAGGTATTGATGGGACATATTTCAAAATAATAAGAGCTATCTATGACAAACCCACAGCCAATATCATACTGAATGGGCAAAAACTGGAAGCATTCCCTTTGAAAACTGGCACAAGACAGGGATGCCCTCTCTCACCACTCCTATTCAACATAGTATTGGAAGTTCTGGCAAGGGCAATTAGGCAGGAGAAGGAAATAAAGGCTATTCAATTAGGAAAAGAGGAAGTCAAATTGTCCCTGTTTGCAGATGACATGATTGTATATCTAGAAAACCCCATTGTCTCAGCCCAAAATCTCCTTAAGCTGATAAGCAACTTCAGCAAAGTCTCAGGATACAAAATCAATGTGCAAAAATCACAAGCATTCCTATACACCAACAACAGACAAACAGAGAGCCAAATCATGAGTGAACTCCCATTCACAATTGCTTCAAAGAGAATAAAATACCTAGGAATCCAACTTACAAGGGATGTGAAGGACCTCTTCAAGGAGAACTACAAACCACTGCTCAAGGAAATAAAAGAGGATACAAACAAATGGAAGAACATTCCATGCTCATGGGTAGGAAGAATCAATATCGTGAAAATGGCCATACTGCCCAAGTAATTTACAGATTCAATGCCATCCCCATCAAGCTACCAATGCCTTTCTTCACAGAATTGGAAAAAACTACTTTAAAGTTCATATGGAACCAAAAAAGAGCCCGCATCGCCAAGTCAATCCTAAGCCAAAAGAACAAAGCTGGAGGCATCACACTACCTGACTTCAAACTATACTACAAGGCTACAGTAACCAAAACAGCATGGTACTGGTACCAAAACAGAGATATAGATCAATGGAACAGAACAGAGCCCTCAGAAATAATGCCGCGTATCTACAACTATCTGATCTTTGACAAACCTGAGAAAAACAAGCAATGGGGAAAGGATTCCCTATTTAATAAATGGTGCTGGGAAAACTGGCTAGCCATATGTAGAAAGCTGAAACTGGATCCCTTCCTTACACCTTATACAAAAATCAATTCAAGATGGATTAAAGACTTAAACGTTAGACCTAAAACCATAATCCCAGTATTTGAGAGACGGTGGCAGATAGATCACTTGTGTCCAGGAGTTTGAGACCAGCCTGGGCAACATGGAAAAACCCCATCTCTACAAAAAAAAAAAATACAAAAATTAGCTGGGTGTGGTGGTACATGCCTGGAGTCCCAGTTACTAGGGAGGTTGAGGCTGCAGTGAGCTGTGATGAGCCACTGCACTCCAGCCAGGGCAAGAGAGTGAGACCCCATCTTGAAAAGAAAACAAAAATGCAGCCTTGCTGACACCTTCATTGTATTCCAGTAAAACTTAATTTGTATTTGTGGCCTCCAGAACTATAAGATAATAAATTTGCATTGTTTTAAGTAATTACATTTGTGGTAATTTGTTACAGCAGTCATAGAAAACAAATACAATTTAAAATTTAATTTTGGTTACTTTCTGTAGACATACTTATGACTTTAGAAAACTGATTACCACTCTGCAGAAATTATTCTATAACACATATTTTCATGTACTCTAAACTAGAATCAACTTTCAGAGATTTCCGAAGAAAAATATACATCTTAAAAGATTAAAGTGGGGAGAAGTATAATTTTTGTGAATGAAATTTTGAATATTAACTTCAACATATAAGTTCTCCTCAAAACAATCCATTAATTTAGCATAATATTTATTTTTAAAAACAAGAAATGTCCTGGGGAAAAGCTATAAAGAGATAGCAGAAAATCAAGGCTCTGTTTGATTTTAAAGTGCATTATAAATCCACATTTATTAAAAAAATTGTGGAAGTGAAAACATAAGTTAATGAAAGATTTATACAGTTAACAATTAGACCTAAATATGTCTTTAAAAACAAAATAGATTTTCATCAATGGGCAAAGGACTGACTATCAGGTAATTGGTAGTGTGACTACTGGCTGAAAATTTGGGGAAAATCCTTAAACTTTCATTCTTATCTCAAGAAAAGCATTAAAATAAATTTAGGTTGATTCAACAGGTGGTTGTAAGGAAAAAAAGAAAACTAAGTCAGGAAAGCCCAGGATATAATGCCTATTATTTCGAGAAGAACATTTCATTTACTTAAATATTGGGGGAATTACATATTTCTGTAGACATTACGGAGAAATCACAGTGACATACAAAGTTTTAAAAATATGAATCAATGACCTAGAAATTCCACAAATATGAATTTCTGCACGGAAGTTATTGCACAAGTGATCAAAAGTGCAAGTGCAAAGTTATTTTTTGCAGCATTATTTATAGAAGAAAGAGAACTGATTAAATATAACATGGAGTATAAAATATGTAGTAGAAAAATATGTATCAGTTGAAATTATTAAATGTATATATGCATATGTAAATGACACAGAAATATACTTATAACATCCTAAAAGATAACTAATGTTTTAAAACTGAGGAATGATGGTAATACAGAGTTTATTTTTGAAGGTATGAAAATAGTGTGAATTTAAATTTTGATGATGATTGCATAAGTTTGTGAATATATAAAGTAACCTTAAATTGTGCATCCTTAACGGTGATTTTAAGGTCTATGAAGTATATCTCAATAAAGGTATTTTAAAATATAGATATATCATTATTCAAATGTGGTGTTTATATGTGTTTATGTACATATGCAGATGGTAAGATTAATGTGATTATTTTCTTTATCCTTTATCTGCTTTTAAAATAATCATTCTGATTATAAAAATGATTTTAATTAAAAATGCATTCCAATATTAAAATACTTGTGTTCTGAAAAATTTAACACTTTCAAATAATTTTGCACTATTATATGCTGCACAAAAAGATAACTTCAAGGTGAGCACAAACTAGATGTTAAACTGAATAATTGTATTATTAGAACTAAGGTTTCAAATTAATTATTTGAAATGTTTTCTATCAGTTTTGTGAGTCTACCAGATTCATCAAAGAACATCGACTTTGATATTTATAGACTTCTTGATTATATTTTATCAAATAATGAGTTTCTAAACAGCTAGAGGCATAATTATAATGATAATTTTCCACCACTAATGGTTATAAAAATTAGTAAAAAATTAAATGATTAGTTGTGCCTTTATCTAAATATAAAATAAATGGTAAGCATTTACTATTAATAAAAATATGGTCCAGGCACATTGGCTCATGCCTGTAATCCCAGCACTTTGGGAGGCCGAGGCGGGCGGGTCACTTGAGGCCAGGAGTTCAAGATTAGCCTGGCCAACAATGGCAAAACCCCATCTCTACCAAAAATACAAAAATTAGCCAGACATGGTGGTGGTATGTGCCTGTAATCTCACCTACTCGGGAGGCTGAGGTAGGAGTATTGCTTGAATTCAGGATGCAGAGGTTGCAGTGAGCCAAGATCTCACCACTGCACTCCAGCCTGGGTAGCAGAGTGAAACTCCATCTCAAAAAAAAAACAAAAAAAAAGTGTGATTTATTTTCTATATTATCAGGGTTTTTTAACAAAAATTATATATTAATTAATACATTTAATTTGGATTTATTTTCTATAATCTGTAGAGATAATACTAAACTTTGTAATTTATTAGAAAATTACATATTGCCCAGAAACATCCATATTTTTAGTCATAATCATCGTAACTAGGTCATGAAGGAACATTTACATGGCATACTTTACCACCCCTAAAATCTCTATGGTATTATGTATCTATTTATTTACAGAATTAACACCTTCTATATTGTATTGGTTATTGAGAAAATTTAACCAGCACATCTTCCACTTTTGCACTGCTGCACTATAAAGACAATAAAAGAGATATAAACTCTTCAAATTAAATTTAATTACAATATGTCTAAGGTTTTACATATTTGGTCCTTCATCTCACTATTGAAAACAAATAGAGTGAAGATAATGTGGATGATGATGCCGTGATAAATACTGTCCCAATACAGGTCTCTTATCCCTTCAAAGCTGACAATAAGCATGTTCTTGATCTGTGATTGCCTTCACAATGTATTTATAAGCCAAGCATAAACATCTCTGGATCCCAGTTTCCAAATTCTCCCCTCTGAGTTCCCGTGAAATTTGGATGCAACTATGTGACTTATGAATTTATTTTCCCACCACTACATTTTAAGTCGTTAAGGAAGGTTTCCCACCATAACCATTGACATCCAATTTACCTTGCGTGTAGTATGTAGACAATGTAGTAGGTTGAAATAGTGTATAAATATAATATTGATTGAGAGAGTATACTTGAAATTGAATCATTAGATAATTAAGATTGAATTGTTAGATAAATACTGTTCTCTCTCAACTCACCATGTATTAATCAGGGTTCTCTAGAGGGTCAGAACTAATAGGAGATAGATATATATATATATATAAAGAGGAGTTTATTAAGTATTAAATCACACAATCACAAGGTCCCACAATAGGCCGTCGGCAAGCTGAGGAGCAAAGAAAGCCCGTTGGAGACTCAAAACTGAAGAACTTGGAGTCCGATGTTTGAGGGCAGAAAGCATCCAGCAAGGGTGAAAGAAGTAGGCTGGGAGGCTGGGCCAGTATAGTCTTTTCACGTTTTTCTGCCTGCTTTATATTCTAGCAGCACTGACAGCTAATTAGATGGTGCCCACCCAGATTAGGGGTCGGTCTACCTTTCCCAGCCCACTGGTTTCAAATGTTAATCTCCTTTGACAAAACCCTCACAGACACACCCAGTATCAATACTTTGCATCCTTCAATCCAATCAAGTTGACACTCAGTATTAACCATCACACACCTTAATTCTACTCTCTATATTTTTGAATGCTTTTAAGGACAGTCAGGTCAAGTGGTAATGAAAAAATAAGCTTTCATTGTGTACCATCAACCAATGATTCACCACATGACTTTTTAACCATTCTTACTTGAAAACAAAACAAAACCAAAAACCTGACCACTGTTAGCATAATAAACAGACAATGTTTTACAAGGAGGATAATAAAATGAAGCAGTAAACAGGTTTCAAATTCTCTATATGCTACTCTACAGCTACAAGAGAAAGTCCCTAATGTTTGCTATTGCTGTAAATAACCTCTGCCCACTCTGTTGACTACTACTGAAGCTCATTAGGGAATGTTTCTAACAAGGTGCCATATGCTGCTCTCCTTTATATTATACACTAGAGCATAGAAGCAATATATCCCATTCTGTTAAAGAAAATATGAAAATTTATTGTAGTAGAATTTACTGCATCATTTGGTTTAAATCAAATTCATGAGATTTGCCAATCTTGCTAACTACTTTGGAAAATATGAGAAAAAAAGTTCTCATTTCTTTATTCTGTAGAGGTCAGCTTATTCTGGTTTGAGACATCTCTCATGCTCTTTCTTAGAAACAGGGACTTGATTGTTTCATTACCATAATTGCATGCATCCTTCAAGCCTTAAGGAGGACTTCGATACGCTGAAATTTTAACTCTGTCTGACTCATTAGAAAAAAAAAGTGAATTACTGATCATTTAATTTAGTTTTTCAACAAAGTTATGTGTCATGCTGAAGATTAAAGACATTGAAAATGTCTATTCTTTGATAAGAAATTTCTTCATTTCTCTAAAATGGAAATCTCAGAGAAAGTGATTCTGAAATGAGAAATTAAGGCTTAAAAACAAAAGGTCATACATAGTTAACCTCTATTATCACCAACAACTCACAAACCATATTAGTCTTGAGAACAATCAGATAAAATTTAGCAAATTACATAAATATGGGGTAAGAAAGACAGTATCTATTACTAATAAAAATAGAAAATGAACTGTATTTTAACTCACATATTTTCAGTATTAATGCCAGTTATTGTAGGCATTTGTTGAGAGAAATATTTTTAAAGGAACAGAAACAGTCAGTGCATTGGCAAGCACTGTGATAGTGTGGAAATATTACCACTTACACTCAACAGAGTTTAATCTGCTACCTTGAAGGAAAACAATTCACTGAGTTTTGTTATTTTAAATAAATTAGGAACATAAAAAAGAATTTCAAGATTTCTTTACCTTTTGTGTCCTTTGATTTTAAATTGTGTATTTATATGCATTATTTCATGATACAATTGACAACTAAAAATTCATGGGGTTCTTTTTCAAGCATCATGTAAAGGGATAGCATTAGTTGAGAAAATTATACCGGTTTTAAGTAAATATCTAAATACTTATACTAATGTGGAGAATCAGATGTGACACATAATTGAGAATATAAAATATTGTTACATATGTGAGCATAGTAAGCACTCAAAATGTATATTAAATGAATACATAAACAAATGACATATTTTAAAAAAGAAAGAGAATGAAAATGTGGTTGAGTAGATCAAATTTGAAACAGCTTTAATGTCATGGGAAAAGAAAATGCTTAAGATGAAAAAGTGGGAAACAGATGGAAAATATAAATTTATATATTAAAAAGAGAAGACTGTGCCAAAAATTGTGTTTGGAGCTTTTAGAGGTTATCTTATTTAATCCTCATAAAAGTACTTCAAAGTACCTGAATATCAATCTCACCCTTTCACTTAAAGGAAATGAAGAAATCAGACATCATAAAGGCCCTTTTATATTTGTTCAGAACAGTGTAGAACAAGAAAGGTATATGTTTCCTTATGAGCCCAAATTGATATTGTATGGAATAACTTTGAGAAGGAGTGCCTTTTCAACTTTCATTGTACCTCCTTTTCACCTCTCAATACAAATTTCCCTCTGAAAAGGCAATTTCAAAAATACTAGTAAAGAGAAACAGGTGCACATATGAGTTCAGACAGAGAAGCTATGAGCTTTCAATAAATTAAACATTGCTACAGCCAAGATGCATTCCAGGACAGGAACAAGGTGACCTGATCATGTTCTGTTCCAGGTTGCTGTGTGTAGCCAATAACCCCAGAACCTTCTTGGAGAAGGTGGGTGGAAGCAGATGGTCTACATCAATGGTTGAAAATTAAGGGCTATGAGAAGAACCCACCCACAGCCTATTTTTATGAAGAAAGTTATACAGAATACAATTTTGCCAATTGTCAATGGCTGCTTTTGCACCACATAAGCAGAACTGAGTAATTATTGCAGAGACTATGTGGCCTGCATAGACTAAAATATTTACTATCTGGCCACTTACAGAAAAAGTTTATCAATCTGTACTGGAGATGCCTAATTAGAAATGGTACACTCTCAGATTGCTCATTTTCTCTTATTCTCTACCCATCAAGGTTCACAGCACTGTCACTGTAGAAGCACATAATTATTGCCTACTTTAATTTTTTTTTTACCTGGAAACTTACCTTTGAAAGATAATTTTTAAAAGAAGTTGTTTTCTTTAACATTTTCCTTTGTTGTTTTTATAGTGCAGCAAACAACAGAAAAAGTCTCTTACCAGAATGTAACTATAACAAAAATATTTGTCTAACTTTGGCATCATGCCAAGGAAAGACCTGAGATGTATGAATATTTTCCTAGAGAAATGTTCATTTGTAATAATGCCAGTGTAACAACAAAAACCCATATCAATGCAGGGTTTTGATTGCATTGTGTAAGATAAATTCATTTATGCTGTACATTAGCAAGCCTCCAGAGAAAATACAAAATGCAAATACATACAAAGGTGAGTCTCAAATTCAGAATCCTTCCAACAATGGAGAAGATATTATGAATTTTGAACATGATAAAAGTTAATATTGGAAGTGTATATTATTTATATTTTAAACTAGAATCATCTCTAAAACAAACAGGAAAGAAACTCAGAATTTTTGGAATATTACTACTGCTATGGGTAATATTACACAAGGAAGTAGTGGAAGGTCTTTGTTTAACCAAATTCTAATTGTTACTTGGTTTTCTGCATTGGTCCCAAGGTACAGTATTTTACTACTGGTGGTAGTTTCTGATATCAGTAAATTTACAATATAGGAAAGCAAAAACAATCCAAAATTGGATATGGCTTTTCTTTTAACATTGAGTACTAATGGCTCAGCTGCTTTGTTTCTTCAGCAATCACATATTTATTCAAAATTACTGGAACTGGTATGTGGCAATATGTAGAATTCTGTTGATAAAAATGATATAAATGACCAAACTATATACATTAATTCAATAATGAACTGTAAAACTTTTTCACAATATGTATTACAGATATTTATTATTTGGAATAGATCGACTAATAATGGAACCAGTTGACTTTCAACTATTAATTCCATCAGTTAGGTGAGGTATTTAATATGTCTGGGTCTCAAATGCCATCATTTTCAAAAAATACTTTATTTGATTAACTCCATAAAATCAGTACTTTGGTCTTTGAAATCTTAGATATGAACTGGTATTAAATCACAGTTCTTTTTGTGTATTAATTCAGTATAATGATTAAAGAATTTAACATGTCTGGGCCTCATTTAGTTAATATTCAAAATTGGAATACCAACATTCAATTAATAAGAATCTGTGTGGTTTAAATAATAATAAATTGTTCTTATCACATGATATGAAAGAAACATTCAAAAGAGTCATCATTGTTATCATTATTATCAATGATGAGGAACTGTGAAAATTGAGAAAGGTGCTAGGGAATGCTAAGAAAGAGCAATTCAAATTTTCCAAATTAGAATAATAATGAGGAAGATAATTTTCTTTGGCTAGACAAATATATATTTTCAGCATAGTTCTTTCTTGACTTTTACAATTGAGTCTGGAGAATAAAAATGTCACAGTCTTGGCCTCCCTTGTGTGTAAATGTTGCCAATTGATACAGTTCCCAATGGAGGAAGTCAGAAGCATGCTGCCTTTATCTTTTCTTGTTTTTTCTTACTTATAATAAAAGGGACAGACCTTGTGTTCCCGTTCTTTCTTTCATAATTCAAATATTATACCTAAAACATCAGCTACCATATTAAAGCTATACTGTAACATACATAAAGGACAAAAGAATTTCTGAGTACCAAATCTGATTTTTAAGCTATTAAGCCACTTACCTCCAGATATATAGTTTATAAAAAAAATTAAACATATATTTTAATATCTGTAGGCTGAGTTAGTTCTTATCAGTAGCTCCATTCTCTCTTAAGTGACATATGATGTAACTATTTAAAGCCAGATATTGTTAACTTTCCAGTTGATATTAGTCACAACATTTGGAAATAATACGTTTTTTATAATTGTTATTCTAATCTATAATTTATGGGCATTCAGGTAGATGATCTTTGGAAATAACATATGTTTAAAAATTGTTCGCCAGGCACAGTGGCTCACACCTGTAATCCCAGCACTTTGGGAGGCCAAGGCGGGTGGATCATGAGGTCAAGAGATTGAGACCATCCTGGCCAACATGGTGAAACCCTGTCTCTACTAAAAATAAAAAAATGAGCTGGGTGTGGTGGCATGTACCTGTAGTCCGAGCTACTCAGGAGGCTGAGGCAGGAGAATCATTTGAACCCAGGAGGCACAGATTGTAGTGAGCTGAGATTGCACCACCGCCCTCCAGCCTGGTGACAGAGTGAAACTCCATTTCAAAAAAAAAAAAATTGTTGTCCTAGTCTATGATTGATGAGCATTTAGGTTGATTCCATGTGCTTGCTATTGTGAACAATGCTGTAATAAACATACACGAAAGTGTGTTTTTATAATAGAATAATTTATATTCTTTTGGGTATATACCCAGTAATAGGATTGCTGAGTCAAATAGTGTTTCTATCTCTTGGCCTTTGAGGAATCACCACACTGTCTTCCACAATGGTTGTTGGGAAACTAATTTACACTCTCACCAGCAGTGTAATAATTGTTCCTCTCTCTCCACGACCTTGACAGCATCTGTTATTTTTTGACTTTTTAATAGTAGCTATTCTGACTAGTGTGAGATGGTATCTGATTGCGGTTTTGATTTACATTTCTCTAATGATCAGTAATGTTTAGCTTTTTCTCATATGACTGTTGGCCACATGTAGGTCGGCTTTTGAAAAGTGTCTGTTCATGTTCTTTGCCCGCTTTTTATGAGGTTTTTTTTTTCTTGTAAATTTGTTTAAGTTTCTTATAGATACTGGATTTTAGATTTTTGTCAGATGCATAGTATTCTCAAAAATTTTCTCCCATTCTGTTTGTGGTACATCTAAACCATGAAATACTTATGCAGTTGTAAAAAAGAGTGAGATTAGTATAGGAGGCAGGACTAGGTTGCAGCTCCCACTTAGACAGACAGAGCAGTGTGTGGAGACTCACATCACTAACTTTTGTTCCAAGAACTACCAGAGGAACGTACCAGGAAAGCTGAGAGAATCCACAGACCATTTGAAGCAACTAGATTACCACTGCAGTCTCCTTGAGATGCCAAAAAACTGTGAGCCTTGCTTTCTGAGGGGAGGCTGGTGGTCTTGGGAAAGTTCTCAGCCCTGGTCACCAGCTGCCTGGAAATAGGCTTAGGTGGAGGGGCATGGTGGGAGTCAGACCAGCCTTTAGGACTTTGGGCTGCATGGGAGTAGGGTGAGGTCTGCGACTGCTGGCTTTCCCCCACTTCACTGGTGACCTGTATGACTCAGCAGATGCAGCCATAATCCTCCTGGAAACATAACTCCATTGGCCTGAAAACCATACCCCTATCCCCTACAGCAGCTACAGCAAGCCCTACCCAAAGAATCTGAGCTCAGACACACCTATCCATGTCCCCACCTGGTGGTCTTTCTCTACCTGCCTGGTTGCCAAAGACAAAGGACATAATCTCTTGGGGGCTCTATGGCTCTGCCCATTGCCTGAGAAACCTGAATACTTAACCAAGCAAACTTAAGGCAAGTTTGCATCCTCCCTGTAGTACTGCAGGTGATGAGTTCTTGAAAGTGCCACCTCTTGGCTGGAAGCCAACAAACACAAGCCAGTGCACTAGACAAATATACAAAGAAGGATCCTCACAAAGTCCATTTCCCTCCCTTGCTACCTCCACTGGAGCAGGTGCTGGTATCTGTGGCTAAAAGACCTGAAGACAAATCACATCATAGGACCCTTTGCAGACACTCCCCAGTACTAGCCTGGAGCCTAGTAACTCTGCTAGGTGGCTAGACCCAGAAAAGCAAAACCAATCACTGAAGTTTGGCTCCCAGGAAGCCCCATCCCTAGAGGAAGGGAGAGAACATCATGAGAGCACACTGTGGGACAAAAAAATATGAACAGCAGCCCTTCAGTCCCAGACCTTCCCTCTTACATAGTCTACCCAAATAAGAAGGAACCAGAAAAACAATTCTGGTAACATGACTAAACAAGTTTCTTTAACACACCCAAAAGATCATACCAGATCACCAGCAATAGATCCAAACCAAGACAAAATCTCTGAATTGTCAGAAAAAGAATTCAGTAAGTCGATTATTAAGCTAATCAAAGAGGCACCAGAGAAGGAAAAAGTCCAATTTAAAGAAATCAAAAACATGATACAGGATATGAATAGAAAAATATTCAGTATAATAAATAGCATAAAAGGCAATCACAACTTATGGAAATCAAAGACACACTTCACATAATGCAAAATGCATTGGAAAGCCTGAACAATAGAATAGAACAAGCTGAAGAAAGATGTCAGAGCTCAAAGACAAATCTTTCAAATTAACCCAACCCATCAAAGTCACAGAAAAAAATAATTTTCAAAAAAATGAAACAAAGCCTCCAAGAATTTTGGGACTATGTTAAATGTCCAAACCTAAGAATAATTTGTGTTCCCAAGGAAGAAGGGAAATCTAAATGTTTGAAAAACATATTTGAGGAAATAATTCAGGCATAAATTTTGTATCCAGCAAAACTAAGCTTCCTAAATGAGGGAAAGACACAGTCTTTTCCAGACAAGCAAAGGCTGAGAGAATTTGCCACCACCAGGCCAACACTACAAGAACTACTAAAAGAAGCTCTCAATCTTGAAACAAATTAACAAAATACCCCAAAATAGAACTTATTTAAAGCATAAATCTCACAGGACCTATAAAACAAAGGCACAATGTAAAGAAAAAATGTTATCAGGTACCATGTAGCACAATAAATAGAGTAGTACCTCAGATCTCAATGCTAATGTTCAATGTAAATGGCCTAAATGCTCAAATTAATAAATACAGAATGGCAAAATAAAAATTCAACAGCCAAGTTTCTGCTGTCTTCAGCAGACTCACCTAACACATAAGGACTCAAATAAGATTAAGGTAAAGTGGTGGAAAAAGCTATTCCATGAAAATGGACACGAAAAGCAAGCAGGAATAGCTATTCTTATATTAGATGACACAAACTTTAAGGCAATATCAATTAAAAAAGACAAAGAGGGACATTATGTAATGATAAAAGGATTGGTACAACAGGAAAATATCACAATCCTAAATATGTAAATACAACTAACACTGGAGCTTCCAGATATATAAAACTATTACTACTAAACCAAAGAAATGAGTCAGATGGTAACACAACAATGATAGAGGACTTCAATACTCCACTGAGAGCACTAGACAAGTCATCAAGACAGAAAGTCAACAGAGAAACCATGGACTTAAATAATACCCTAACAACAAATGGACTTAACAGGTATTTACAGAATATTCTACTCAACAACTGCAGAGTATGTATTGTATTCATCTGAATATGAAATATTCTCCAAGATAGACTGTATGATATGTTACAAATCAAGTCTCAGTAAATTTAAGAAAACTGAATTTATTTCAAGTATTCTCTCAGATCACAGTGGAATAAAATTGAAAATCTACTCTAAAAGGAACCCTCAAAACCATGCAAATACTTGGAAATTAAATAACCTTCTCCTGAATGATCATTGGGGCAACAATGAAATCGAGATGGAAATTAAAAAATTCTTTGAACTGAATAATAGTGACACAACCTATCAAAATCTCTGGGATACTGCAAAACCAGTGCTAAGAGGAAAGTTTATAGCATTAAATGGCTATATCAAAAAGTCTGAAAGAGCACAAATAGACAATTTAAGGTCATACCTCACAAACCTGGGAAAACAAGAACAATCCAAACCCAAACCCAGCAGAAGAAAATAAGTAACCAACATCAGACCAGAACTAAAAGAAATTAAAACAAAAAGAACATAAAACATAAATAAAACAAAAGCTGTGTATTTGAAAAGATAAATAACATTCATAGAACATTAGCAAGATTAACCAAGAAAAAACAGAAGATCCAAATAAGCTCATTTTGAAACAAAACAGGAGACATTGCAACTTATATTAGTCCACTTTCACACTGCTGTGAGGAAATACCAAGACTTGGTAATTTATAAAGAAAAAGAGGTTTAATGGACTCACAGTTCCACATGGCTGAGGAGGTTTCACAGTCATGAGAGACAGCGAAGGAGGAGCAAAGGCATGTCTTACATGGCAGAAGGCAAGAGGGTGTGTGCAGAGGAACTGCCCTTTCATAAAGCCATCAGTTCTCATGAAAATTATTCACTGTCACAAGAACAGCTCAGAGAAAACTGACCCCCATGATTCAATTGCCTCCCACCAGGTCCCTCTCATGACATATGGGGATTAGGGGAGCCACAATTCAAGATGAGAGATGGGTGGGCACACAGCAAAACCATATCATTTTACCCTGACCCCTCTTAATTCTCATGTCCTCACATTTCAAAACCAATCATACCTTCCCAACAGTCCCCCAAAGTCTTAGGTAATTCCAGCACTAATTCAAAAGTCCAAGTCCAAAGTCTTACTTAAGACAAGGCAAGTCCCTTCTGCCTATGAGTCTGTAAAATTAAAAGCAAGTTATTTGTTTTCTAGATAAAATGAAGGTACAGGCATTGGGTAAGTACACATGTTCCAAATTGGAGAAATGGGCCAAAACGAAGGGACTACGGGATCATGCCAGTCCAAAATCCAGCAGGACAGTCAAATCTTAAAGCTCCAAAATGACCTCCTTTGACTCCATGTATCACTTCCAGATCATGCTGATGCGAGAAGTGGGCTCTTATGGCCTTAGGCAGCCTCACCACTGTGGCTTTGCAGTGTACAGCTCCCCTCCTGGATGCTTACATTGGCTGGTGTTGAGTGTCTGCAGCTTTCCCAGGCAAATGATGCAAGCAATTGAAGAATCTACCATTTTGGGATCAGGAGGACGATGGCCCTCTTCTCACAGCTCCACTAGTCAGTGCTCCAGTAAGGACTCTGTGCAGGAGCTCTGACCCCACATTTCCCTTCTGCACTGTCCTAACAGAGCTTCTCCATGAGAGACCCACCCCTGCAGCACACCTCTGCCTGGACATCTAGGTGGATCCATATATACTCTGAAATCTAGGCAGAAGTTCCCATTCCTCAATTCCTGATTTCTATACACCCACAGGTGCCCAACACCATGTATAAGCCACCAAGGCTTGGGGCTTGCACCTTCTGAAGCAACTGCCTTAGCTGTACATTGGCTCCTTTTAACTACAACCAGGATGTAGGACACCAAGTCCCAAGACTACACAAAGCCTCAAGGCCCTGGGGCTGGCCCATGAAACCATGTTTTCCTCCTAACTCTCTTGGCCTGTGATGGGAGGAACCACTGTGAAGATCTCTGACATGCCCTGGAGACAATTTCCCCCACTGTCTCAGTAATTAAATTTTGGCTCCTTGTTACTTATGCAAATTTGTGCAGCCTGCTAGAATTTCTCCTCAGAAAATGGGTCTTTCTTTTCTATCACATCATCAGGCTGCAAATTTTCTACCCAGGTCACCTGTTGAACACTTTGCTGCTTAGAAATTTCTTTTGCCAGATACCCTAAATCATCTCTCTGAAGTTGAAAGTTCCACAGATGTCTAGGGCAGGGGCAAAATGCCTCCATTCTCTTTGCTAAAGCATAAAAAGGGTCACCTTCATTCCAGTTCCCAAAAGTTCCTCATTTCTGTCTGAGACCACCTCAGCCTGGAGCTTTTTGGTCAAAACCATTCAGCAAGTCTCTAGGAAGCTCCAAACTTTCCAACATCTTCCTGTCTTCTTCTGAGCCCTCCAAATTGTTCCAATCTTTGACTGTTACCCAGTTCCTAAGTCACTTCCACATTTTTGGGTATCTTAAAAGAAGTACCTCACTCTACCAGTACCAATTTACTCTATTTGTTCATTTTCATACTGCTATGAAGAAATACCTGAGACTGGGTAATTTATAAAGAAAAAGAGGTTTAATAGACTCACACTTCCACATGGCTGGGGAGGCCTCATAATCATGGCAGAAGATGAAAGAGTAGCAAAGGCACATCTTACATGGTGGCAGGCAAGAGGGCATGTGCAAGGGAATTGCCCTTTTATAATACCATCAGTTATCCTGAGACTTATTCACTGTCATGAGAATGGAATGGGAAAAACCCACTCCCATGATTCAGTTACACGCATCAGGTTTCTCCCACAACATGTGAGGATTACGGGAGCTACAATTCAAGATGAGATTTGGGTAGAGACACACCCAAACGATATCACTACTGATAGTGTGTCCAGAATTGGTTCCTTCCAGTGGGTTCTTGGACTCGCTGACATCACCCATGAAGCCACAGACCCTCACGGTGAGTGTTACAGTTCTTAAAGATGGTATGTCCGGAGTTTGTTCCATCCAATGTTCAGATGTGTCCAGAGTTTCTTCCTTCTGGTGGGTTTGTGGTCTCACTGACTTCAGGAGTGAAGCCGCAGACCTTTGCAGTGAGTGTTACAGCTCACAAAGATAGCGCGGACCCAAAGAGTGAGCAGCAGCAAGATTTACTGTGAAGAGCGAAACAAAGCTTCCACAGCATGGAAGGGGACCTGAGGAGGTTGCCCACTGCTGGCTCAGGTGGCCAGCTTTTATTCCCTTATTTGGCCCCACCCATGTCCTGCTGATTTGTCCATTTTACAGAGCACTGATTGGTCCATTTTACAGAGTGCTGATTGGTCCGTTTTTAAAGAGTGCTGATTGGTGCATTTACAAATCTTTAGCTAGACACAGAGCGCTGACTGGTATGTTTTCAATCCTTTAGCTAGACAGAAAAGTTCTCTAAGTCCCCACCTAACCCAGAAGCCCAGCCAGCTTCGCCTCTCAATAGCACAGAAATACAAAAGAATATTCAAGGCTACTATAAACACCTTTATGCACATAAACTAGAAAATTTAGAGGTGATGGATAAATTCCTGGAAACATACAACTTTTCCAGATTAAACCAGGAAGATATACAAACTCCGGACATACCAATAACAAGCAGCAAGTTTGAAACAGTAATAAAAAAACTGCCAACAAAAAATAGTCCAGGACCAGATAGATACACAGGTGAATTA